>NC_000012.12:103217703-103520734 GCF_000001405.40 Homo sapiens
TGAAGCTTAGTGTGCAGTGAAATGTTTTTCACAAAGAAAGAACTGCTATTCCTCTCTATATATAGTTATATATATTTGCTCACAGCCTTTCCTTCCTTGTAGAGCCCCCCTTACTCCCATGCTGCATCAATCTGTCCCTTCCTAGTGTGGTCCCAGGGGTCCTTGCTAACATCTTTCTTATCAGAGCCCCTGGTTATCTCACTTACTGTTGAAATCCTGACACATTTCTTGTCTATACCATTCATTTGTTGCTGCATATCTCATCATCCCTTTTCACTTATAGAAACGAAATCCTCGGCCAGGCACGGTGGCTCACGCCTGTAATCCCAGCATTTTGGGAGGCGAGGTGAGTGGATTACCTGAGGTCAGGAGTTCGAGACTATCCTGGCCAACATGGCAAAACCCGTCTCTACTAAAAATACAAAAATTGGCTGAGTGTGGTGGTGCACTCCTGTAATCCCAACTACTCAAGAGGCTGAGGCAGGAGAATCACTTGAACCTGGGAGGCGGAAGTTGCGGTGAGTGGAGATCTCACCAATGAACTCCAGCCTGGGCAACAAGAATGAACTCCGCTTCAAAAAAAAAAAAAAAAGTCTTTCTTTCTCCCCACTAGAATATACTCTTCCTGAGGTCAGGAAAAATAGACTAAACCTGGTTTTAGCTACAGACAATGGTTGCACAATATTGGCACTTAATAAAATAATTTCAAGTTGACAGTGATGTCCTCTGAATATTTACTCCCTGTACACTCTTTGACCTCTCTAGTACTGAGCATAGGGATTTGAATTGGTGCCACTAAATACTAGTGGCAAACTGCAAAACCGAAGTATTCTGGGAAATGCTTCACTGGACTCTTGCATCTGTCTTAGGTAATTCTGGTACTACCCAGACACGGCAGGCAGAGGCAGAGGTGTCTACTTTTTATTTGAATTGTGGAGTCAGGCTGTGGACTGTGACAAGTGGCTCAGGATTTTGGCTCAAAAGGAGAAAATATATAATCATCTCTGTTACATGCACTAATAAAGGAGAAATATGAGGCAGAAAATAAGAAAAGCTATTTGTCCTTTCTGGTCATTTCCACAGTAGATTGACCTTTCCAATTTACAGAATGAGAATTGCAAAAAATTAAAAAATAAAAAAATCTTAGCAAGAATCTTATTAACTGCCATTTTACATTTGAATTGTTACCACAACCCTGTTATGCAATCTCTGAACACGTAGAAGAGATTCCCTCAGGTGTCTACACCACCAGGGCCCTGGGTTTCAAGCACAAAACTGGGTGGCTGTTTGGGCAAACACTGAGCTAGCTGCAGGAGTTTTTTTTCATATCCCAGTGGCACCTGGAATGCCAGGGAGACAGAACTGTTCATTCCCCTGGAAAGGGGGCTGAAGCCAGGGAGCCAAGTGGTCTAGGTCAGTGGATCCCACTCCCATGGAGGTCTTGACTCTTTATCCAATTTGCCAGTCTGTGTCTTTTAATTGGGGCATTTAGCCTGTTTCCATATGCAGAAAACTGAAACTGGACCCCTTCCTTACACCTTATACAAACATTAACTTGAGATGGATTAAAGACTTAAACATAAGAACTAAAACCATAAAAACCCTAGAAGAAAACCTAGGCAATACCATTCAGGATATAGGCATGGGCAAAGACTTCATGAGTGAAACACCAAAAGCAATGGCAACAAAAGCCAAAATTGACAAATGGGATCTAATTAAACTAAAGAGCTTCTGCACAGCAAAAGAAACTGTCATCAGACTGAACAGACAACCTACAGAATGGGAGAAAATTTTTGCAATCTATCCATCTGACAAAGGGCTAATATCCAGAATCTACAAGGAACATAAACAAATTTACAAGAAAAAAACAAATAAGCCCATCAAAAAGTGGGCAAAGGATATGAACAGACACTCCTCAAAAGAAGACTTTTATGTGGCCAACAAACATATGAAAAACCGCTCATCATCCCTGGCCATCAGAGAAATGCAAATCAAAACCACAATGAGATACCATCTCACACCAGTTAGAATGGCGATCATTAAAAAGTCAGGAAAAAACAGATGCTGGCAAGGATGTGGACAAATAGGAATGCTTATACACTGTTGGTGGAAGTGTAAATTAGTTCAACCATTATAGAAGACAGTGTGGCAATTCCTCAAGGATCTAGTACCAGAAGTAACATTTGACCCAGCAATCCCATTACTGGGTATATACCCAAAGCATTATAAATCATCCTACTATAAAGACACATGCAAATGTATGTTTATTGCAGCACTATTTACAATAGCAAAGACTTGGAACCAACCCAAATGCCCATCAATAATAGACTGGATAAAGAAAATGTGGCACATATACATCATGGAATATTATGCAGCCATAAAAAGGATGAATTCATGTCCTTTGCAGGGACATGGATGAAACTGGAAACCATCATTCTCAGCAAACTAACACAGGAACAGAAAACCAAACGCCACACGTACTCACTCATAAGTAGGAGTTGAATAATGAGAACACATGGACACAGGGAGGGGAACATCTCACACCAGGGCCTCTCAGGGGGTGGGATAGCATTAGGAGAAATACCTAATGCAGATGACGGGTTGATGGGTGCAGCAAACCACCATGGCATGTGTATACGTATGTAACAAACCTACACGTTCTGCACATGTATCCCAAAACTGTAAGTATAATAAAAAAATAATAGATAGAAAAGGGAGAAAGACTGACCAATAAATATATATATTTACAGATTTTTTCATGAAACTGACTTTCATTTGTAGACATGTCAGATTATACAAAAGATCTCTTTTTATACATTTTTTAAAGGGTGGAAGCTTCAGTTCAATAGCGTTCGTGAGAAAATCCTTTAAGCTGTGTCAAAATGCCAGTTATCCTAAATGCCACCCAGATTTGAATAATTTAAAGAGAGACAAAACACACACAGAAAGAGGGAATCATCTTTTGACGACCATTGCTTTTGACGAGTCGGCCTCCCCCGCTCCCTCCCTCTTTTCTGAAGTATCTTCCTCTCTCTATCAGTGGTGACAACTGCCAGTCAAGCCTTCTGTGGCTGAGGGAGGAGGAGGAATGGGCAGGGGAGAAGCCAAGGGCAGGAGAGAGGGGAAGAACATGAAACATTCTTGAACAATTGCTCAAGGAAGATTCCCTGTCAGTGTGTGGTCTGGGGAAAAGAAGTCTTTTCCTTCTTTCATTTCTAATCTCTAACTGACTATTTATCTCTTTTTATAAACTTGAATCTCTCTGTTGCTCCAAAGGTTCCCAAACAAATCGCCAGTCAGCCAGGATTAACCTGCTTTGTTGCTGACGATTAGCAGGTTTGCTTGTAGTTTTAACATCTTCAGCAACAGCTGAATGTCAAACGATTCAGGAAATACTTGTCTTATTTTGTCCAAAGCCATATACATGTTTGAAATAAGCTGAGAGAAAGATACCACACAGAGAGGATTATAGAACATTTCAGAGAGATGGAGTTTGACATGAACAACTGAGAACTCTATCAACACTTGTACTTCTGTTGTTTTTATGCCACCATTTTTTTTTAAGTGTTATATTTTGGTCAACTCCCTTTCCCAAAGAAAAATCTGTAAATGTCTATTTGAATGCCAAACTCTATGAGATGAGCACATTGTAATTTACAAATGCTCATAGCATTCATTTATTGAATATCTACTGGGTGCTGAGTACTGTGCCAGAATCAAGTCCAGTCTCAGTTTTCAAGAGCCTTCTATTGCATTCACTTATATGTCCATTTCAGCATTTAATCTTTTTTAAAAAGCAATTAAATTACTTATGACTCTGTGTTACTTGCAAGACCCTGAAAGACAAAGACTATGTCTTCCTTCTCTACCATCCCTTACTGTGTTGTTTCTTATTAATCTTCTAAATGTTAGTTACTCAAGAGCATCTCTTCCTTTTAAGCATCATGATACAGAGAAAGGCATTGGTTTGGAATCAGGGGCTCTGGCTCTAGCACTACCTCATTTTATGGCCGTGGACAAACCCATCCTTCAGTAAGCCTTTGGCTTTCAGCATTTATAACGTGAGGAGAGTTCTTTTCCATTGTTCCTTGCAATGCCAAAGTCTGTGATTCCTTGACCTCAGGGCAAGGAAACTGAATAGCAAGGCTGAGGGACACCTGCCCAATTTTAACCACCTTGAAGACAGGATTTGTCTTCTTCATTGAACTCCCTGTGTCAACAAACATAGTGTCCTGCAGTAAAGGTCTACACACTTGAAAGGAACTCAAACTAGGAGTTTGTGAAGCAGAAAAGGAAACAATTTGGTAGGCATCAACATGGTCCTGGGAGGTAAGCCATAGGAAGGGCAAGATGAGAGCAGGCCCAAGATGTCATATGCATATTTTTGAGTTAATCAGCAGCCACCATGTTTTTCATGCGCGTCCCTGTGAAGAGACCACCAAACACGCTTTGTGTGAGCAACATGGCTGTTTATTTCACCTGGGTGCAGGCGGGCTGAGTACAAAAAGAGAGTCAGCGAAGGGAGATAAGGGTGGGGCCGTTTTATAGGATTTGGGTAGGTAAAGGAAAATTACAGTCAAAGGGGGTTTGTTCTCTGGCGGGCAGGAGTGGGGGGTTGCAAGGTGCTCAGTGGGGGTGCTTTTTGAGCCAGGATGACCCAGGAAAAGGACTTTCACAAGGTAATGTCATCACTTAAGGCAAGGACCGGCCATTTACACTTCTTTTGTAGTGGAATGTCATCAGTTAAGGTGGGGCAGGGCATATTCACTTCTTTTGTGATTCTTCAGTTACTTCAGGCCATCTGGGCATACACGTGCAAGTCACAGGGGATGCGATAGCTTGGCTTGAGCTCAGAGGCCTGACAATGTTCATGGCGTGTGCAGATAGGAGTGGACAATCTCATCAGGGCCTTGCAGGTGAGACTATAGGAAGTGAGACTGGGGATGAAGGGAAGGCTTCTGTCCTGGTATATCTTGAAATACTTTCTATACAAATGTAAATTTACATATTTCCCTTGTACTGAGTATATTTTACTACATTTTTTCTATAAGAGCAATTTCTCCTATCTCTGTATGGATGGATCTACTCTGTCCCCACGCAGATGTCCCATATCAAGCCACTAATACAATAATGATCTCACCCTGTGTAGGGTATAAGAAGCATTCTAGATCAAGCCCAGGAGTTTGCCACTCTCACTTGGGAATCTTGCTCTGTTATTTCTCTCATCTTTTCCTCTACTTTCAGTCTCTTCCTCTTCACTGGCTTCTTCCATTCAGTCTACAAACATAATCTCATTCCATTCATTCATTGATTTCTTTATTCATTCATTCACATTAATTGCACACCTATTATACATAGTGTATAAAAATAATTACTCTTCCTCAACAACATATGTTCTCCTCACTTCAAGCAGATAGACATTCCTGCCTTCTTATATTAATAAGAAAAATAAAACAAAATAGTGTTGAAGTGTTGGGGTGGCGAAAATTTTTGGGGGGTGGTATGGAGAGAGAATGGGCGATGTTTCTCAGGGCTGCTTCAAGTGGGATTAGGGGCGTCGTGGGAACCTAGAGTGGGAGAGATTAAGCTGAAGGGAGGTCTTGTGGTAAGGGGTGATATTGTGGGGATGTTAGAAGAAACATTTGTCGTATAGAATGATTGGTGATGGCCTGGATATGGTTTTGGATGAATTGAGAAACTAAATGGAATAACAGAAGGAGAAAAACAGGTATAAAAGGTCCAAGAATTGGGACGACTCAGGATATCTGATTAGAGAGTGCCTAAGGAGATTCAGCATAGTCCTGCCAGCAAAGATTATTTATTTACTTCAAGAGTTAAGAGTGGCAGTTTGGTGATAGCACCAGGAGATATCAGCTGTGGTGGCTTGGGAAAACAGTGTAAACCGGCAGTGTAAACAAAAGCAGGGCATTTATGAGTAGTTGAGAATGGTGAATAGGAGTATGACTAGACAGAAGATAGTAGGGATGACAAGTTTTTTGGGGCACAGTCTAAGTTGGTCTGGTGTCTGCAATGAGACTGGGGCCTAATAAAAAGGAGCATCTATACAGGAGCTTAAATGGGCTGTACCCTGTAGCATTCCGAGGACAGGCCTGAATTCTGAGAAGGGAAAGTGGTAAAAGTAGTGTCCAGTCCTTTTTGGTGGCTGAGCTTGGTGAGGTGTGTTTTTAAAAGACCTTTAGTCCATTCTATTTTTCTTGAAGACGGAGGACCGTAAGGGATATAAAGTTTTCACTGAATACTAAGAGCCTGAAAAACTGCTTGGCTGATTTGACTAATAAAGGCTCATCTGTTATCAGACTGTATTGAGGTGGGAAGGCTAAACTGAGGAATTATGTCTGACAGAACGGAAGAAATGACTGCGGTGGCCTTCTCAGACCCTGTAGGAAAGGCCTCTACCTATCCAGTGAAAGTATCTACCTAGACTAAGAGGTATTTTAGTTATCTGACTCAGGTCACGTTGAGTAAAGCTAATTTGCCAGTCCTGGGTGGGGCAAATCCTCGAGCTTGATGTGTAGGGAAGGGAGGCGGCCTGAATAATCCCTGAGGAGTAGTAGAATAGCAGATGGAACACTGAGAAGTTATTTCCTTGAGGATAGATTTCCACGATGGAAAGGAAATGAGAGGTTCTAAGAGGCGGGCTAGTGGCTTGTACTATAGCATAACCTGCCTTTGCTGGTGTGTGGCGATTAGGCCTGGTGGAACCGCCATCAATAAATTAAGCGTGATCAGGGTGAGGAACAGGAAAGAAGGAAATTTGGGGAAATGGGGTGAATGTCAGGTGGATCAGAGAGATACAGTCATGGGGGTCAGGTGTGGTATCAGGAATAATGTGGGAGGCCAGATTGAAGTCTGGGCCAGGAACAATGGTAATTGTGGGACTTAAAGAGTGAGTACAGCTGAAGGAGCCGGGGAGCAGAAAGTATATGCGTCAGGTGTGAGGAAGAAAATAGATTTTGGAAGTTATGAGAACTGTAGAGAGTGAGTTGAGCATAGTTTGTGATTTTGAGGGCCCCTAAAAGTATTAAAGCAGTGGCAGCCACTGCACACAGACATGAGGGCTAGGCTAAAACAGTAAGGTCAAGTTGTTTGCACAGAAAGGCTACAGGGTGCAGTCCTGGCTCTTGTGTAAGAATTCTGACCACACTATGCCTAGGAAGGAAATGAGTTGTTGTTTTGTAAGGGATTGAGGTTTGGGAGATTAATCGGACACGATCAGCAGGGAAAGCACGTACGTTTTTATGAGAATTATGCCGAGATAGGTAACAGATGAGGATGAAATTTGGGCTTGACTGAAGTAATGGGGGCTGTCTATGAAGCCTTGCGGCAGTACAGCCTAGGTAATTTGCTGAGCCTAATGGGTGTCAGGGTCAGTCTAAGTGAAAGCAAAGAGAGGCTGGGACAAGGGGTGCAGGGGAATAGTGAAAAAAGCATCTTTAAGATCAAGCATGGAATAGTGAGTTGTGGAGGAAGTTATTGAGGACAAAAGAGTGTACTGGGTTGGGCACCACAGGGTGGATAGGCAAAACAATTTGGTTGATAAGGCGAAGATCCTGAACTAACTTGTAAGGCTTGTCTGGTTTTAGGACAGGTAAAAATGGGGGAATTGTAAGGAGAGTTTATAGGCTTTAAAAGGCCATGCTATAGCAGGTGAGTGATAACAGGCTTTAATCTTTTTAAAGCGTGTTGCGGGACGGGATATTGGCGTTGAGTAGGGTAAGGGTGATTAGGTTTTAATAAGATGGTAAGGGATGCATGATCGGTCACCAAGGAGGGAGTAGAGGTATCTTATATTTGTGGGTTAAGGTGGGGGGATACAAGAGGAGGACGCAAAGGAGGCTTTGGATTGGGAAGAAGGGCGGCAATGAGATATAGCTGTAGTCCAGGAATAGTCAGGGAAGCAGATAATTTAGTTAAAGTGTCTCAGCCTAATAAGGGAACTGGGCAGGTGGGGATAACTAAAAAGGAGTGCTTAAAAGAGTATTGTCTAAGTTGGCACCAGAGTTGGGGAGTTTTAAGAGGTTTAGAAGCCTGACCATCAATACCCACAACAGTTATGGAGGCAAGGGAAACAGGCCCTTGAAAAGAAGGTAATGTGGAGTGGGTAGCCTCCATATTGATTAAGAAGGGGATGGGCTTACCTTCCACTGTGAGAGTTACCCGAAGCTCGGCGTCCGTGTTGGTCTAAGGGGCTTCCTAGGCGATCGGGCAGTGTCTGTCTTCAGCCGCTAAGCCGAGAAGATCTGGGAAGGAGTCAGTCAGAGAGCCTTGGGACAGAGTTCCAGGGGATCTGGGAGTGGCTGCCAGGTGAGTTGAACAGTCCAATTTTCAGTGGGGTCCCACACAGATGGGACGTGGCTTAGGAGGAATCCCAGGCTGCGGGCATTCCTTGGCCCAGTGGCCAGATTTCCAGCACTTGTAGCAAGCTCCTGGGGGAGGAGGTTCTGGAGGAATGCCTGGCTGCTGCGGTTCAGGCGTTTGGAAGTTCTTGTGTGCTGGAGATGTGGCTGGGGTTTGTCTCACAGAGGAGGCAAGGAATTGCAACTTTTTTCTGTTATTGTACACCTTGAAGGTGAGGTTAATTAAGTCCTGTTGTGGGGTTTGAGGGCCAGATTCCAATTTTTGGAGTTTTATTTAATGTCGGGAGCAGATTGGGTAATAAAATGTATATTGAGAATAAGACAGCCTTTTGACCTTTTAGGGTCTAGGGCTGTAAAGCATCTCAGGTTGCTGCCAAACGAGCCATGAACTGGGCTGGATTTTTATATTTGATGAAAAAGAGCCTAAATGCTTCTGATTTGGGATAAAGAAAAAGGAGCATTAACCTTGACTATGCCGTTAGCTCCAGCCACCTTTTTAAGAGTAAATTGCTGGGCAGGTTGGGGAGGGCTAGTCACGGAAAGAAACTGTAAGCCCGACCAGGTGTGAGGAGGGGAAGTGATAAAAAGATTATAGGGCGGAGGAGAAGAGGCTGAGGAAGAATTGGGACCTAGCTCAGCCTGGTGAGGAACAGCCTGGGGAGGAAAGGAGAGGTCAGATGGGTCTGTAGAAAAGGAAGATTAGAAAGACTCAACGACGCTTGTGGTTGGTACTGAGGGGACAGGCGGGAGGGAAAGAAGGAAGGTTTGGGACGAGTTGCACTGGGCACAGAGACTAGGAAGGGACTGATGTGTAAAAGAATGCCTGGACGTCAGGCACCTCAGACCATTTGCCTATTTTACAACAAGAATTATTTAGATTTTGCAGGATGGAAAAATTCAAAGTGCCATTTTCTGGCTATTTGGAACTACTGTCGAGTTTGTATTGGGGTCAAGCGGCATTGCAGAAGAAAATAAGGCATTTAGGTTTTAAGTCAGGTGGTGAGTTGAAGAGGTTTTAAGTTTTTGAGAACACAGGCCAAGGGAGTAGAAGGAGGAATGGAGGTTGGAAGGCTGCCCATAGTGAAGGAAGCAAGCCTAGAGAAGAGAGTAGAGAAATGGAGGGAAGGGGTTCAGGGGTTCTTACCTTCCAGAAAAGTGGGAACAGGGGTTGGGGCTCAGAGATAAGAGGTCGGGGCGTGGAAATAAGGGACTAGGGTGCAGAGATATAAGAGGTTGGGGCACGGAAATAAGGGATTGGGGTGCAGAGATAAGAGGTCGGGGTGAGGAAATAAGGGATTGGGGTGCAGAGATAAGAGGTCGGGGTGTGGAAATAAGGGATTGGGGCAGAGATAAGAGGTTGGGGTGCGGAAATAAGGGATTGGGGTACAGAGATAAGAGGCTGGGGTGTGGAAATAAGGGATTGGGGGTTCTTGCCCCATAGAAAAGTGGGACTTGCCGCTAAGGGTGAAGGAGAAGCGGTTGAGGGGTACTTGCCCCTCTCCCAGAAAAGCAGAGAAGGGTTAGAGACAAGGAGAGAAGGGGTTGGGGTACTTGCCCCTTCCCCAGAAAAGCGGGACTTGCCGCTAAGGGTGAAGGACCAAGGCAGGCATCCCTGTGTGGTCTGACACCCTTGAAACGTGGGTGTATAATCAGAGAGGCGTCCCTGCAATGATTAAACACCAAGGGAAGCCTGCCTTCCCAGTCCATGACCGGCGCCGGAGTTTTGGGTCCACGGATAAAATGTGTCTCCTTTGTCTCTCCCAGAAAATGAAAGGAATTGAAATTAAGAGAAGGGAGAGATTGAAGAGTGGAAAGGAGAAAGTGGTTGAGGGACAGTGAGAGAGGTTGGAGAAGAGAGTAAGAAGAGGCCACTTGCCTGATTTAAAATTGGTGAGATGTTCCTTGGGCTGGTCGGTCTGAGGACTTGAGGTCATAGGTGGATCTTTCTAATGGAGCGAAGAACACGAGTACAGGGGATTGATCTCCCAAGGGAGGTCCCCTGATCAGAGTCACGGCACCAAATTTCATGTGCGTCCGTGTGAAGAGACCACCAAACAGGCTTTGTGTGAGCAACATGGCTGTTTATTTCACCTGGGTGCAGGCGGGCTGAGTCCAAAAGAGAGTCAGCAAAGGGAGATAAGGGTGGGGCCATTTTATAGGATTTGGGTAGGTAAAGGAAAATTACAGTCAAAGGGGGTTTGTTCTCTGGCGGGCAGGAGTGGGGGTCGCAAGGTGCTCAGTGGGGGTGCTTTTTGAGCCAGGATGACCCAGGAAAAGGACTTTCACAAGGTAATGTCATCACTTAAGGCAAGGACCGGCCATTTACACTTCTTTTGTAGTGGAATGTCATCAGTTAAGGTGGGGCAGGGCATATTCACTTCTTTTGTGATTCTTCAGTTACTTCAGGCCATCTGGGCATATACGTGCAAGTCACAGGGGATGTGATGGCTTGGCTTGGGCTCAGAGGCCTGACAATGTTCATGGCATGTGCAGATAGGAGTGGACAATCTCATCAGGGCCTTGCAGGTGAGACTATAGGAAGTGAGACTGGGGATGAAGGGAAGGCTTCTGTCCTGGTATATCTTGAAATACTTTCTATACAAATGTAAATTTACATATTTCCCTTGTACTGAGTATATTTTACTACATTTTTTTCTATAAGAGCAATTTCTCCTGTCTCTGTATGGATGGATCTACTCTGTCCCCATGCAGATGTCCCACATCAAGCCACTAATATAATAATGATCTCACCCTGTGTAGGGTATAAGAAGCATTCTAGATCAAGCCCAGGAGTTTGCCACTCTCACTTCTCACTTGGGAATCTTGCTCTGTTATTTCTCTCATCTTTTCCTCTACCTTCAGTCTCTTCCTCTTCACTGGTTTCTTCCAGTCTACAAACATAACCTCATTCCATTCATTCATTGATTTCTTTATTCAGTCATTCACATTAATTGCACACCTATTATACACAGTGTATAAAAATTATTACTCATCCTCAACAACATATGTTCTCATCACTTCAAGCAGATACCCTCTTCTTCTTTCTCACTGGGATCAAAGTGAATTAATGAGAATATCTTCAGTATCCCTTTCTTCATTGTAATTCTCCACATCTGCCTTCCTTCCTGCCTCTTCACTTTTGTCTTAAAGGAGGATATTTCCGGTCTTCATTTATCAGTTAGGATGGTTTCTGCATGCCTCTTAATAAGGAAATGTATTATTTCACATAGCAGGAAGTCCCGTGATAGTACAGGCTCCAGGCAGAGTATGACCAATGCTCTGGTTGCTTTGCTTTGAGATTCTCTCAGCGATTCAAAAACACAAAAGCAAGGCAGTGGTTGTGTTTGGGAAGGTGAGGGAAGAGAGAGAATGGAACAGTAAGCAGGGATCGTCAATTATATTTATAATTATTTATTTAAGCTGGTTTGTGTGTACTTGGGTATACATTAGTCTAGTCTTACCATTTTGTGTGAAAAGAAACATAAGATTTAAATATATTAATACAATGATTATTTGTAACCACATCCAACTGAAGAGTGCTTCTGAAGTCCCTTGTGTTTCCTTCCACATTTTTATTTTCCATCCAGACTCCCAGAGGGAATGACTATATGGAAGTGTGTGAATCTTTGAATTTTATGTAAATTGAATAATTCTATATCTCATTTTTTACTTTTATTCTTCTATGACTTGACTTGTTTCTCTAACATAGTATTCTAGGATTCATATATGCTAATGCATATAGCTACAGTTCATTTGTTTTCAGCAATAAATAGTATTTTATTACACAAGTTAGCTACAACCGAATCCTGTGGGAAATGTCAAGAAGCCACCACATCCGAGGAGTGAGAGTTTTGAGGCATACCCATGAAGTTTGCCAGAGTTCATGAAAAAGTTTGTAAACCTGACAATTTGATAAAGTTTGAGTTTATTGAACATATATTACTGGTCTATGCTGCAAAACAAATTATTGGCTAAGTGATTTGTTTAAATGATCAAATATTAATTACATTGAATTTAAATTATTAAACATATTGGCTGAAAACAACACACAATTATTATCTCACAATTTCTATGAACCAGAAGTATGGGCACAGCTTAGCTGGGTTCTCTGCTTGGTTTTCACATGGCCACAAACAGCATGTTAGCAAGGGCTGAGTTCTTATCTGGTGGCTTGGCAGAGAAAACTACTTGCTTCTAAGCTCCCTTGGGTTGTTGGAAGAATTTTTTTTTTTAATGGCTGAAGGAGTCATAAAATGTTCCTTCTTCAAAGCCAGCAACTGACAGAAAGAACTACTCTAGAGCAAGCTGGCTTGGTACCAAGGAGGAGTCTTATTTAATGAAATATAGTCATGGATGTGATAGCCCTTCATCTTTGCCATAGTCTATCACTTAGAAGAAAGTATCAGGATCCACTCACACTCAAGAGGAGAGGATTATATAGGGAAATGAATACCAGGAAACAAGAATCATAAGGACTATTTTAACATGTGTCCATCACAGAGTCATCTTCAAAGATGCCACATTTGACAAGGCCTCTTGTCTGACCCCCACTACCACTGGAGAACAATGGCCTCTCCTTCACTTATTCATTCCCGAAATTATTGAAGTTTTCCTTCTCTGTCTTCATTAATCCTACCAGCTACATAAATGTTAGTCTTCTAAAATAATTAACTTTTACTTTGTTGATTCTCTCAGTTATATGTTGATTTGCTGTTTCATTTATTTTTTGCTTTTATATTAAACATAATTTTTAAAAATTTCTTTGGACTTATGCTGTTCTGCTTATAACTTGAGTTGGATTTTTAGTTCATAATTTTTGACCTTTCTTTTTCTAGATTTAAGCATTCAAGGCTCTGCTCTAGCTATATCCCAAAAGTTTTTATACATACTGTCTTTTATTATTTATATAATATTTACAGTATAATTTCCAGTATATTTTCTTCTATACCTATGACATATTTAGAAGCACATTTTAAATTTACAAGTGTATGAGGTTTTCTAAATTATCCTTTAAAAATTGATTCTTAATTTTGTTGTGGTCTGACATATAATGTTTTCGATGGACCTCACATTTTATAGCAATTTTAGTTTTATAGCAAAATTGAGCAGAAAGTGTAGAGATTTCCCATATATCCCTGCCTTCACACATGCATAGCCTCCACCATTATCAGTATCCCCCACCAGAGTGGTACATTTATTACAACTGATAAGCTGCATTGGCACATCCTTTTCACTTGAAGTCCAGAGTTTATATTAGGGTTCACCCTCGGTGCTGTACATTCTATGGGTTTGCATGAGTTTATGATGACATATATCCACCATTATAGTAACATACAAAGTAGTTTGACTGCCTTAAGAATTCATGTGTTCTGCCTATTTATTTCTTCCTCCTCACTACCCCTCACAACCATTGATTGCTGTCTATGAAAACTTCATAGTTTTCACTTTTCCAGAATATCGTATAGTTGGAATCATACAGTATGCAGTTTTTCAAACAGTCTTCTTTCACTTAGTAACATGCATTTAAGTTTTTTCCATGTCTTTTGATGGCTTGGTAGCTCACATCTTTTTAGCACTCATCATGATACATCCATTGTCTGGATGTATCGGTCTGTTTATCTGTTCATCTACTGAAAAATAACTTGGATTCTTCCAAGTTTTGGAAATTATGAATAAAGCTGTTATACACATTCATGTGCAGATTTTTATGTGGACATAAGTTTTCAATTCCTTTGAGTAAATATCAAGAAGTGCAATTGCTGGATCATATGGTAAGAGTATTTTTAGTTTTGTAGAAAACTGCCAAACTGTCTTCCAAAGTGGCTGTACCCTTTTGCATTCCCACAAGGAATGAATGAGAGTTCCTGTTGTTCTACATCCTTGTCAGCATTTGATGTTGTCAGTGTTTCAGATTTGGCCATTCTAATAGGTGTGTAGTGGTATTTCATTGTTTTAATCTGAATTTCTCTGATGACATGATGTGAAGCATCTTTTCATATGCTCATTTGCCACCTAGATATCTTTGGTGATAAGTCTGTTTAGGTCTTTGGGCCAATTTTAAATCATATTGTTTGGTTTATATTTAATGAGTTTTAAGAATCTTTTCTGTATTTTGGATAACAGTCCTTTCTCAGATATGCATTTAGCAAATATTTTCTCCCAGTTTGTGGCTTCTCTTTTTAATCTCTTTATAGTATCTTTAGCACAGTAGAATTTTTTTATATTAATCAAATCCAGCTCACCGACTCTTTCTTTTATGGATTGTGCGTTTGAAGTTTTATCTTTAAAGTCATCACCAAATCCAAAGCCATGTACATTTCTCTCATGTTATTTTTTAAAAGTTTTGGCTGGGTGCAGTCTCTCACACCTGTAATCCCAGCACTTTGGGAGGCCGAGGCGGGCGGATCATGAGGTCAGGAGATCGAGACCATCCTGGCTAACACACGGTGAAATCCCATGTCTACTAAAAATACAAAAAAATTAGCCAGGTGTGGTGGCAGGCGCCTGTAGTCCCAGCTACTCAGGAGGCTGAGGCAGGAGAATGGCATGAAGCCGGGAGGCAGAGCTTGAAGTGAGCCGAGATCACGCCACTGCACTGCAGCCTGGGCAACACAGCTAGACTCCGTCTCAAAAAAAAAAAAAAAAAAGTTCTATAATTTTGTGTTTTACATTTATGTCTATGATACATTTTTAATTAATTTTAGTAAAAGGTGTAAGGTCTGCGTCTAGGTTCATTTTTTTTGCATTTGAAAACATTTGAATGTCCAGTTGGTTCAACACTATTCTTTCTTTAAAATAATATTTCGAAGTTTTGAGTTTTTTTATTGATACATAATAGTTGTACCTATTGGGGGGGTATATGTGATATTTTGACACATCACAAAATGTGAAATGGTCTAATCTGGTAAGTGAGATATGTGTCACCTCAAACATCTATCTTCCAATCCTGCTCTTCTAGCAACTTTGAACTATACACTAAATTAACATTGCTAACAAGACTATCTCTGCTCCATTGAGTTGCCCTTGCCTCTTCATCAAAGATCGATTGACTATATTTATGTGGCTCTATTTTTGGTCTCTCTATTCTATTTCATTGTTATATTTGTCTGTTCTTTTGCCAATACCACACTGTCTTGATTTGTAGATTTGTAGTAAGTCTTGAGGTCAGATAGTGTCAGTCCTCCAACTTTGTTCTTTTCTTTCAGTATCATGCGGGCTATTTTGCGTTTTTTGCCTCTCCATATAAACTTTAAAATAAGTTTGCCAATATCCACAAAATAATCTTTGAGGATTTTGATTGGGAATGCACTGAATCTATAGATCAAGTTGGGAAGAACTGACATCTTGACAATATTGAGTCTTCCTATCCAGGAACATGAAATAACTCTCTGTTTATTTAGTTCTTTGATTTCCTTCATCTGAGTTTTGTAGTTTTTCTCATAAAGAATTTGTGCATATTTTGTTAGATTTATACTGAAGTACTTAATTTAGGGGTAGTGCTAATGTAAATGGTATCGTGTTTTTAATTCCAAATTTCACTTATTCATTGCTGGTGTTCAAAAAAGTGATTGACTTTTATATATTAACCTTCCACCTTGCAACCTTATTAGTTCCGGGAGTTTTTTGCCAGGGGTTTTTGTCCAGGAACTTTACAGATATTTTTACAGAGACAGTCATGTCACCTACAAAGAAAGACAGTTTTATTTCTTAATTCCCAATCCATATACATTTATTTTGTTCTTATTGCATTAGCTAGAACTTTCATTATGATATCGAAAAGAAGTGGTGAAAAGAGGCATCCTTGCTTTACTCCTGCTGCTAGTGGGTAAGTACAGTATTAGCTATAGGTTAAATTGTAGATATACTTCAACAAGTTAGGGAAGTTCCTCTCTATTTATATTCTCACATAAATAGAAACTGAGAGTTTTTATGATGAATGGGTATTGGATTTTGTCAAATGCTTTTTCTAAATCTATTGATATGTTATGTAGATTTTCTCTTTTAGCCTGTTGATGCAATGGATTGCATTAATCGATTTTTGAATCCTGAGCCTTGGCATCCCTGGGATAAATCCCACTTAGTCATGGAGTGTAATTCTCTTTATACATTGTTGGTATACTAATTTTTAAAAGTTTGTTGCTTTATTCTTTATGATATATGATATGGTCCATCTATATAACTGTTGTTCATGTGCTTAGGTACAATATTCCATTTATGCCTATTAGAATAAGTGCATCAATTTTATTCTTCTCATTTTCTATATCTTATAATTTTGTGTGTGATTGTTATTCTAAAGAGATTTGTCATGGTGACTTTTTTGTGAATCTGAGGAAGTGGGAGGACTGAGGAAAGGGTTCTTAGTATTACTGTTATATTCATTGAAAAAAAATTGTTTGGGTAAGAACAATGCCAAATGGACCCTCACCCTGCTAATGCCTACTCCATTGGTACACAGCAGATCCCATTTACTGCCTAGTGTACTGGGGGATCATGGATCTCACTACATCTTACATTAAATTTACTTTCTTGGACTTTTTTCCAAAAATCACTAATACATTGGACCACTTAACTTGCTTTGTTTTCTAACCCTGTCTTGCCTTTGTTCCTTCAGTTCCCTCCTCTTCTTCTATTATAATGTCTTTCCCCAACCCACAGACACATATTAAAACCCACCAGGTCCTTTATGAGACATCTCAGGTTTTTCCTTCTGAACATATATACAGCACTTACTTTATTGCTCAGTTATGAATTGTTCTATTTTACACTGCATGATAATCTTCATGAACATACTTTCTTTCTCCTACTGGATTACTGAATACCTTGACGTCTGGAAATTAATCTTGTTCATTTTTGTAGTCCCAACATTACCGAGGAAGAATTCAATATATAAATGTTAAAAAAATATGCAAATTTCCATATTCAAATGCAAAATGTTTCATGGCAATAATTTCATTATTTAAAAATTATTTTGAAAGTGTCTATCTGCCTGAACGTCATAAGTGTTCTGAGTTACAGCAAACTAATTGTTGGATATGAATAGACTTCCATAAATACTTCTGACATTTTTATACTAATTGTTGTGTATTTCAAGACCCAGATGTTCCAGAGTTGTGCTAAAACAACTTGAATCAATTTGGCAGCTCAGTTTACACCCATGGGAGGCTTTGTGACAAGTAAAATTACATTTCCTTTTTAGCTAGATTTGTCCCTATTTTCTGTTAACTTGAACTGGCTAAAGAAACCAGGAGAGATTCAATATGAGGGTCAAGAAAACTATAACCTAATGATTGTTTTAGAAGTTTCTTTCCAACTTAAAATTTTCTTATTCCACATCCCCATTATTTCAGATGTTTTCAAATGTTGAACCAGCCTTGCATACCTGAGGTAAATACCAATCGGTCATGGTATACAATTATTTTAATCCATTGTTGGTATACTAATTTTTGGAAACTTATTAACATTTCTCTTATGATTTATAATAAAATCCATCTGTATAACTTCCTCATGTGTTTATGCATAGTGTTACATGTATGTAAGTAACTTCCCTGCACTTCAACTTATTCATCTCTAAGTGGCTTTAATAACACTTCGTGTCTGATAGTGTTGAAATGAGCATCAAAAGAGTTCATATATGCAAAGTTTCTAGAGCAGTGCCTTTCACATGGTAGTGTTTAACCACTACCACTGTATTAATATTGTGCTTGGAGATCCAACTATAACTACCTCCCATTTACATGTTGAATTTATGTTTTTAAAATAAAGCCACGAAGAAATTTGAGCTTAAGACATATGCATGCACTAACTATGGAATAACTTAGTTTAAAATTCTTGCCAACTATGGTGGTGGTTTATGTTGGCAAAATAGCTCAGAAATGCTCCTTGTGGTTCTGGAAATAAGGTAAGTCATGCAAGATAATTTCTCTGCCACATCTACAGCCCAGTTACCATTGAGGAAATGCTCTGAGATTGCACTTCAGGAACTTCCATATTTTCCAAATGTTTTATTTTTTTTCTTTATGAACAAATAAATTTTATTTAAATATTCTAATTACCTGTCACTTTTCAGAATCTTAGTCATCTACAAAGTGCATTGTGAACCTGGTGTGTATTCTAAGTCGACAACAAGTTTTGATCTTACATGTCAGAATGCTATGTTAACACTGAGATGCTTAAGCGTAAAACTGAGATAATAAATTACTGGGCCAGATTTTGCCAGATGAATAAATTCTTTCAATAACAACAGAAAATCTTGTTCCCTCAATGACTTGAAAAATGACTTGAAAAACACATCTCTGAAAACACTTACCTTGAACTCAATGAGCTGTTGATTTACCCCATGCAAGCTGCTCAGTTTTATCACCTGAAAGTGTCTTCTTTAATCATGGCTGAAATGTAGGTTTGCACTTGGATGGTATTTGTGATTATCTCAGTTCACTAAACTGCAAACCTGATTATTCTCCCAATTAAAACAGCAGTGGGTGCATATTTCTCAGCAAGACACATGGAGGGTCTTGAATGACCAAGATTTCATTTCTTTCTCAGAATATTTTATACGATTCAGTAATCAGTAAAATTGGTTCTTCTACAATGGGCCCCCTCTGTCATTAATGAGAATTAGCAAAGTTCTATTGCCTTAAAAAAAAAGTAAAGTGGTCCATTACTGTGAATGAACCTGCTTTTTTGTGTGAGGACTTCTTTTAATTTTAAGGGGGGCTTTCATGCTTTTGTGTTGTGAATTAAATCACCATTTCATGAGGTTTATCTTTGTCAAAGAAGGAAGAAAATCAATCTTTCGTTAAATCTATGAGACCAAAAATCCTGCTCACAAAAAGGACTATAGACCTGGCAGATTCAGCAGCATATCGTAGGTAGGGTGTCTAGGGAAGCATTACATCCTCATCCAATGTCTGCGCTCTGCAAAAGGTGCATTAATATTTCTTTCAAGGAAGCACTATACTTTTTAAAGTTTTAAATAGTATACAAATGTCAATATTTCTTAAGTAGCTTGTTAGCATGTTAGTTTGGCTATATTTGAGGTTAAATCTTGCCTGCTCTGAAATATATCACAGGCAATCTGGCCTAAGAGGTATAACACAACTGTAGAGTTGTTTTACAAAACTCCCTCAATATCAGTGTTGGCTGCTTTTCCTGGTGGGCTTGAATGTCTAGTCTTCAACAATGGTGTGTGTGTGGCATTGTTGGGGAGATGCTGGGATTGAGGATGGAAATGAAGAGGGGGATATCAAACCTAACTGAGATGACAGACAATATTGGCACAGTGACAAGATCCCAGGGTCTGCAGTCAGTTAGAATCCCAGCTTTGTCACTTACCCACTGTGCTCCCTTGGGCAAGTTTACTAGCTGAATCTTGGCTCATTATTTGTAAAATAGACATAATACTGAATGTATGGGGTAGTTCAGAAGATCTTTGATAATTCGCCTGTTTATCACATAGCAGGTGTATTGGTTAGCTTTTAATGCATAACAAACCAACTCAAACTCTGTGACGTGCAATAAAAATTCATTTGTTTATTCCTGAATCTGAAATTTGGCAATTTAGACTGCACTCAGCATGGCAATTCTGGTCTTGGCTGGACTCCCCCATGCATCTGTCAACAGCTCTGCTTCTGCAGTTACTGGGGTGCCTTGGCTCTCCTCCTTGTGCTTTCTCATCCTTCATTGGTTAGTGCAGACTTGTTCCTTTGGGGAAGGAAGGATTCCAAGAGAGCTAAAGGGTGGAAGGCCTCTTGAGGACCAAGGTGGTAACTGGTGCTACGTTAGTTCTATCATGTTCCGTTGGACAAAGAAAGTCACAGGAAACCTGGATTCAAGTAAAAGAGAAAGAGATTCTACCTCTTGAAGAAGAAATATGCAACATCACACTGCAATGAATGTAGATATAGGGAGGCCATCAATGCGATTAATATACTGCAGGAGGCATGTGGTGGATTGTGGCTGCCACTACAGAAAGACAAATCTGCACCCTAGAGTAGAGTATGGAGGGACATGGGACTAATATGGCCATGGCTTGATTTTGTAAGTAAAATTCTACTGAACTCCCCAGAGTAGAGTAGGAAGGGACATGGGACAAACATGGCCATGGCTTGATTTTGTAAGTAAAATTATATTGGAACACGGCTACATCCTTTTTTTTTTTTAACCTACTGTGTGTGGCTGCTTTCACACTGCAACAGTACAGCTGAATAGTTGCAACACAGATGACATGGCCAGCAGAGCCTAAAATACTATGATTCTTTAGAGAAGGAGTCTTCTCTAGAGTTTTGATACTCCAAGTATTGTCTGTGGATCAGCAGCTTTGGCATTGCCTGAGAACTTGTTGGAAATGCAGAATCTCAGGCCTACTGTACCAGAATCTTCATTCTAACAAGAATCCCCCAGAAAATGCACACTAGAGTTTGGGCACCACTGGACCAGAGAGCAGCTACACTGCTTGGATATAATCTGAGGAGTGTAGGAGTCCCAGTGGTAATTATTGAAAGGATAAACTCCAGCTGGAAAACCCAACAACTGTTGTTTCTTTGGAGCCAGCATGACTGCTGTGCTGCTTCCAGGAGCTCTGTCCATCCTTGGGAGAGATTATGCCCTTGATCTAGGAAAACAGAGGGGAATGAAGGCCCTATGAGTGCAGCACGGTGAGAAAGAGCTGTAGGATGCCCCAGTCAAATCAGTTGGCCAGGACTGAGCTCTGATTCCTGAAAGACTAAAGGAAGAGGGACCAGGGAACAGCCAGCGACGTGGTCTGAATCAAGGTGGTAGTAGCCAGTTCTATAAGCTCGATGGAGTCATAAAGGGATAAGGAATCCTAGTTAAGGGATTGACCCTGGTACTGCAGATGTCGACCATGGCTGGCAGCTGAGGAGAATTGTGGGCAACTGTGGCTGGGCCATTGGGCTTGCACTTGGGAGTGTGGCTAGTCTCTGCTCTAGTTTTCTTCTTGGGCTTTTAGTTTTTTCTCAAGGGTATATGAGTAAGAATTAGTGCATATGGGGAGTTTTTGTAAGGCTACAAATAGGCACTCTATAATATTTGGATAAAATAAAATCTTCCTCATGGATTTCTTGTGAGCATTGAGTTAATCCATGTAAAGACTTAAAATACTGCTTAAAACACATACAACGCTCATGAAATGTTACCTATTGTTATAATCATTGTCAGCATCATCATCTTTGTTGTCATCATCATGATCACCATCAGAATAAAAACTCAAAGTCATTAGGGTCCCAAGTAGCCCTTGGCATCAACTATAATCGGACTCCTTCTTATTTTTCTCCCATGTCTCACCTGTCTTCTCTCTGCACCACTCTCAGGATGTCTTTCCCTTTCTGAAAACCATCTTCCACCTCTTCCAATCCATGTGTTTTCTGGTCTTTCACAATTTTGGTTGCAACTGGCCTTGGCTTACCATTCTAAGAGTCAACCCGCTCCTTCAGCTATATTACTAGCTAGAAAATTCCCTTCGTGTTTCCTACCATAACAGAATCTCATGGGCCCTGCCTATCTTCCTGTATCAGACCATAGGTGGTTAGCTTGTTAATCTGGGATCAGTTCCCCATGAGTCAGGTATCCATCTTTGGTTCAATCAGCTGTTGAGGGGGGCAAGGGTGGGTGATTTCCCTTGGAAGTGGGTGTGCATGAATAGGTATTGAGACTTAGTCTACTCAGTACTCTTTTAAACCATGTTGGTCTGGGGATAAGGAAGGAGATACTGAAGATGCAGATGGTGACGGCTTTATTATCAGAAGGGAGGAAGGAACTAGAGACAAAGTGCTCCTGAACTTCCAGATGGAGACTGGCTTGCATCCTATCTTGGAAGAATTGTGGAAATAAATCAGAAGTAGGAAAGAGACTATATTACCAGTAAACACCACTCTGAAAATGAGACATTCAACACAGAAACAATTATAGAACTTCTACTATGGGCAAAAGATACCTTATTGGAATTCTTCATATTCAGAATTATTAACACCACTAAGCATTTACTAATATACTACATACAATAAATATTATTACTATCATATAATAAACGTCAACATTTATTAGGTGTTACCATGTGCTAGGCACTAAGATAAATCTTCACCATGTATTTCTTATTTGGATCTCACAGTAACTCTATGAGTCAATCATAGAGATCCTCAAAATGCCTCACAGACTATATAGTCCAGACATCAAGCGACCTAAACAGATGCCAGCCAGAAGTAGATAAGACGATAAGACCATACAAGGGCACATGGGTTCAACATCAGCTCTAGATATAGCTTCTATTGTCATCACCCTTAGTAAATGAAGAAACTAAAACACAGGAGAGACACATGCTAGCAAGTCATGATGCTGGGCATTTGAGGCCAGACCATCTGGTTTCAGAGTTCTCACAGCCTACCTACAACCTCCACAGCTCTGAGGAGTCACACTTGCTCCTGAAGTCATGAGAACTGAATTAATAGTGCACTCACAAGACATAAGAGTAGTTGGACTGTGTGTAGGCTTATAGTTGGAGTCTTTATTTAATGCCAGAACCGCTGTTTCCATGTCCCAGGCTAAAAGAAATGCTAATCAATTCCTACCTCAAAATTCACTCCAATATTATATTTTTTGCAACATTTCCCAAGTGTCTCTACCCTGCATGATACGCAGAATTGGAGTTATGCCATCTTTAATGCAAGGAGCACTTTACATTGCATTAAAATTATGTGAATGTACACTTCCCCAAGAAAACTGTAGGCTCCTAGAAGTCAGGGACTGTGGCTTTCTTGACTCTGTATCCTAAGCACTTAATATAATATTTAAAACACAGTAGATGCCCTGCATGTGTTGCTGAATGAATTAAAAAAATAAATGAATGGTTGATGAAACAAATTGCTCATAGCAGAATGCAATGCTCTAACATCTTTTAATCATTGTAAAGAGACAGTCAGATAAAGTTATTGTAAGAGAATTGCAAATGTCTAATTATATTTCTATTAACCTACATTTTTAGAAAAAGAGGGCATACTTATTGACAAAGAAGTTATAAAAACCATTTGGTCTCAAAACACACAATGGCATTGTTTTCAAACCTTTATGAGAAGCATAGCTGTTTTGTTTAAAAAAAAAAAAAAAAGAAAACATTTTATTAGGTTTTTCTCCCTGAGTCTTCCTTCTCCTGTCCCTGACAGCCCCCACCCCATAACAGCATACAGCTCTAAGATGCCACTTCATTTATTTAGATTCCATTTTAGTGGATTAGTCATTTACCTAATGGAGCTGGCCTCTCTTGTTCAGAAAGCAAACATATTGAAAGGTAAATACAACTGAACAGATCAAGTAACCACGTCCGGTGGCTGCACCTGCCATTTGGACCACTCTCCATGGGCAATTTGAAAAATATCTGGCAAATTTTCCTATTTACCTTATAAAAGTGGAGGAGTAGAAACAGCACTGCAACATGAGTTAGGAAATTTAGGTCACAGCCATAGCTTTGATCTTAAGTGCAATGTGACCATTGGCTGGTCATTTTCTTCTCTGGGTCTCATTGTCTTGGCTTTTAAAATAAGAGGGTTGGACTATGTTACTTATAAATGTCCTCCCAACCTTAAAATTGTATCTTCATTCATTTGATAAATATTCTCTCAAGACCCAGTCTGAGTAAGACACTTTGTAAGGCATTGTGGGAGAGACAGAGGCACAGACAACATGGCTTCTCCCCACCTCTTGGGCTTAAAACAAACGGGATCAAAAGGAAGCCTGAAAACATGTGTGTTACACTCATTTGTTTTAAGACTATTTAGCCTGTGTTATTAGTCTTTTTCAAAGAATGATTTTAAAATAAATGTATAGGCACTAAACCTCAAGGTGGTTACTAAGACCTCCAGATTTAGTGCCTATACATTTATTTAATTAAACACTTGCTGAATCCTAAGCAATTTGGAAAGTTCTTCCAAGGACAAGGTAAAGTGACAGCTTTGAGAGGAGCATTTTCTTATGGTGGATGCGTCTTTTATTCTCTTCCTTTTCATTCATTGGCTCATGGAGTCAACTACTCTTCCAAGTCTCAGAACATGAATCTTTTCTTGTCTAAGAGAGCCTAGAAAGAAACTAATTGTTAACTTTCTTCTTAAGTGCTTTCCAAATTCAGCACCAGAACTCAGCTCTGAGATCCACCTGTTGTAAGACTGGAAAAGGTAAGGACACTCTAGATTGCAGTTGTGTTTGACCTAAATTTATTTTCTTTCAGTTGTGCTATGAAACATTTTCTCAGACTTCAATTCAGCCTCAATTTTTACAATGGAAACTACTGGAATAATAGCTAAGTTGTGTTTTCTGCACTGGTAAGACCACATCAATATCCTTTTTTCAAATAAATAGTGGTTTGAACGAAAAGTTTATTGGTCTGTGAAATATTGTTTTTAATACTTCACCCTGTCTTTTTAAAAAGTTCTTTATTACATTTTTCAAATTTTTTTTCTGCTTAAAAAAATTTAAAAGGTCACAAAACACCCAAATTCTAATTTCTGAGAAGTCATTTTATCCCACTAACCATATGCAATAAAATAAGCATCAGATGTGCACTCACAAGATATTGCCACCCTAATATTTGGAATAGAAATAAATGGCAATCAAGTTGGAATAGGTGATGAAACATGTGTTTTAAGAAAGGAAAAACAATATTTTAATAATTACTTTGAAAAAAGTATATGGAAATTCAAATCAATGCAAAAACATATTTTTAGTAATTCACTTTATAAAAAGACTCAAAATAAAATATATTTCATATTAGATTTTCCCAGTGCATTGAAAGGAAGTTTGCTAATAAAAATTCCACTTAAATCCAATTTTCATGGTGCTTGTGTAATATTGAAATCATAATCTCCAGCATTATTGTCATGACTATTACTTTACTACTTGCCATTTACTTTAATATAATCATAATTAAACTCCAAATGTTATGGGAAATTTTTTTTAAGAGATAGGGTCTCACTCTGTTGTTTAGGCTAGAGTGCAGTGGCACAATCATAGTTCACTACAGCCTTGAAATCCTGGACTCAAGTGATTCTTCTACCTCAGCCTCCTGAGTAGCTGGGACTACAGGCACACACCACCATGCCCAGCTATTTGGTTTTTCTTTTTTTTCAGAGATGAGGTCTCACTATATTGCCGAGGCTGATCTCATACTCCTGGACTCAAACAATGCTCCAGCCTCAGCCTCCCAAAGCTCTGGGATTAAACGTGGTAGCCACTGTCCCTGGCCAGAAAATATTATTATATAATGTATATGAAAGTAAGTAAAAATGGGGAAATATCAAAATGATATGTAGTTGACAACATTCCCATGCTATATATGCCCCAGTCTTCACAAATACATTCACATTATCTGTATCCTTATTGTAATTATTAAAATAATTGTATCCTTATTGTAATTATTAAAATAATTTTAATTAATTAGATACTCAGGAAGTAATGCCCTGTTTTATTAAATGTCTTTTGCATTTTCCTGAAAGGCATATTAATATTATAATTATACATTTAATGATTGATGATGCCTTTCTAGTAAGTAGAAAATGCTTCTCTTTGTTAGCAAAACTCTATCCACAATAAGCTTAACAGTGTACTGGTAATTATTTGTAGTTGCTACATTTAATTTTATAAAAATGCTCAGATTTATCCCTTTTTCTCAGCTGTAGAGGACAAAGTCAGGTCACTTGTGTTTTGTCAGAAAAATGGATGTTGTCCATGGCAGTGCCAGCAAGGAAGGAAAGCAAAATAAATATGTGTTATATCTGGAAGGAAGATGTCCTTTAGGGCAGAGGCTCTCAGTGTTGGTTGCCCATTAAAATTACTTGAGGAGATTATCTAAATCCCATTCTACAGCTACACCTCATTCCAATTAAATCAGAATATTTGGCAGTGTGGCCCAGGCATCATTATTTGTTAAATTTTCCAAGGTTGATTCCAATGTTCAGCCAGGGTTAAGAACTGGAGCTACAGGGTAGGCAAGAGAAAAATAGGAATCTGACCTCAGACTGCCTTTATATGTCTCATTTCCAGTAGGTCACATTTATGTTACCAAAGAAAACATTCAGCCACCTGGATCTTCTGGACATGAACTTTCTAGTCCCATAACATGCACGGATCCTAATCCCTGGCCTGCTGGAGGCTTGGGCTGATGTCAACCTAACAAGGGCTCTTGGAGTGATTGGCAGATACCCTCTAAAAAGACAAGGGTTAACTGCTCCAAACACCCACACTGGCAGTATGGCATCTCCGAGATCACCTGTTCAAGGTGTTTTGGTCCATGCATAGGTTGGCTCAGGAATAGATGCCTAGACATAGGCAGTGATGGTACTCACTCTAAGTACTCCATGTACTAGAGGAATCTTCCCCCATGTTCAGCCTGAGCCCCTGAAGACCTGTCCTGACAGTTCTCTGTCAACTGTAAATATTCCTCTTTCCCTAAGCAGTGTTCAGCATTCTTTGAAAAAAAAAAAAAAAGAAAAATTTCTAAGTTAGTATAAAGTCTCTAAATTAGTAGCACTCTGAGCAACAATGTTGCTATGAACATACATAACTATACTATAAATAACCACATATAGAATTTCCCCTCTTTTTTATCTTGATTCCAAGGCCATACATCTAACTTATTTTTCACTTGGATACAATGTATTTTTTACTTTCTTTTCTCACTTCCTTCCTGAGCCCCTATCTTGTCATTAATGTTCTCTCCACTTCCTCAAAATCTATCCAGTGTGCCATGGACACACCATGTTTAAACTAATACTCCTGCTAAATAACCAAAGATGATTCTGAGGTACATGGACATCTCTGTAGGTCTTTTTATTTGTGGTGACATCAGAAGCACATATCTTAATTCATCTCTTTAAAGAACATACTTAAAGAGTCAACAGAAGCAAAGGGGGAAAACAAGGAAAGAAGATATTGTTGTATTATCCTATTTTCACCAAGCATCAGGAACAAATGTAATAAATAAACATCTAAAATGAATAGAATTGTTTAAGTAATCCCAGAGGATGAACAGTAATAATGTACTTTTCAAAATTTGAGCCCCATTCCAACAGTGTGACAGGTAACTAATACTATTATGTTGAGTTAAGAAAATTCAGTTGGAAACAGGCAGTGAAAAACTCACCTAGTAAAGATAAATGAACACAAGCTTCAGCGGTGGTTATTTTCTGTATAACCGTGGGCAAGATTATTAAGCTCTCTTGGTTCCAGTTCTCTTACCTGTACAATGGTAATCATTCCTGAGGGACATTATTTGTTCACAAAATAAGTACAAGCTATGGAATCACAAAGATGTGTGATTGAATTCCACTTATGTTGAACACTAGAGGAGTAATCACAGGCAAGTCAATTAACTTTTCTGAGCTTCACATTTTTCATGTAAAAAAACAGTGAAAATAAACCCTAACATAGAGAGTTATTTTTAAAATAATGAGATAACATAAATAAAATGCCTTGTTAGATGCCAGGAGCACTCTAAGCACTTTATAATTGATATTGATTATTATTTCTCAGAACACTAGGAGCTGCCACGAAGATTACTAATTGTAAGAGCCAAATACTGGGCCAAAAAATTCTTAATTTGTTCCATAAACATTTATTAAGCCTTGATACATAGAAGCCAATGTGCAGAAATAAACAAATGTATAAAACATTACTTTGCCCCAAATCAGTTATGATTTAGATGAGATATGGGACACGTATACACCTAACTATTGGACCAGGCAGTCTGTTGGCTATCAGGTGCCTGATACTTGCCCAAACCAAGCCCATTAAGATACTAGAAGGAGTGTCTAGCTAGAGCAATACAGAGGTCAGAGGGAAGAGGTAGCCTTTGAGCTGGACTTTGAAGGAGCTGGACAGGCCAACATGTGAGTGAAGGACATCCAGGGGTGACAGATGTGAATTAGTCAACAAAGTAGCCAAAATAATGGGCAAAGTTCATTTAATTTGGCCATATTTCTTTTACAAAATAGAAGTGATTGGCAGTAGTTAGCTTGCTAACCAATTATTATGAGTTATCACAAAGTTGCCAATTTGGTTCCAACTTACAGATTCAGTCATAGTAAACGGAAATAAACCAATATTTTAAAATTCAAAACATGGAAGCCCTCCATGTAACTCCAAGAAATGTTCTCTTTAAATAGTTGAAGCAGAAATATGCCATGTCATTGAGAATATCACCTCTCTCAATACCAAATCAAGTTTGTTGGGCGATTTCTTTTAAGTAAACCCAACTGGAAATCAAAGTGACTTTTACTGAGGGAAGTTTTGCTGGATAAACATTTACCATACATTAATTTACCTCTTTAGCAATTAATTATATTTTAAGAGGGCTGGATTTAAAGGATTTGGAAGAATACCAAAATATAGTCAAATGATCTTATGCCATATGACTCTGTACCATATGTGAACAAACTTAATTAAACTGATTTCAAAAAAAAAGATGTCACTGTTTGCCGACAGTGTGGATATAACCCTTGGAACCTAAACATTCCAAATATTGGAAATGAAGTCATAAAAGTAGTTCAACCGTGCAAAGATTTAATATCTTTTTAAAGACATAGACCTGAGTGAAAGGGATTATCTATTCATATGGTCAGAGTAAACAATCCACTTTGTGGCCCAACAGATGGAGGCTTTGAATCTGGGAAGGAGAAAGCAGAGAAGAATAAAAATGCAGAGCTTAAAATGACCATGGACTATGTTTTTAAAAGCTTTCTTCCCTACTCAGTGTGAGCCCAGAGGCTCATTATTGTAGGTAGAAGGAAACATAAAAATCCTTTGGGTGTGAAATTTATCAGTCTATATTATTTATTCCTAGCAGGTATGCTTCATTTTTAATATGCATAGTTAATTTTGTAAAAACTGAAATAAGATTTTCATATTTTATTTTCTTTATTTGCAATAATTTATTTCATTTTATTTTTATAAAGCTATGTTTTATAAGAAATGAAAAAGTTTCATGATTTTTAAAAAGGAACAAACTATAAAATCAGTATTTGATAAGAAATTTCAAGACTATGAATTCTCAAGTTGATTCTCACTGCAACAAGTACCATTTTTTCAAAAAAAAACCATGATCAATGGTCTTCATCTTAATATTTTGAGTTAATATTTAATTAAGATCATATTGGGAAATAGAAGTGTAAGTGTTATAGAAAAACATAAAACAACAAAGTTCTTTGCAGTTTCTCAGACTCATTCCTGCTTGAAAAAAATAGAGCCAGAACAAACTTTTTATTTGTTCTAGACCTCATAAAACAGCATGAAGCCTGGTAAATAAATTTGTCTAACATTCTGTGCATTTTATGTCAAAAAATTTTATATGTAATGAGATATTGTCTATGACATCAATATTTCTTGTACAGTTTCAAAAAGTAACTATTCATCATTCTATTTAGGGATAAAATGTTTAAATGCTATGAGATTGAAACTAATAAGCAAAAGTAAATTTCTGACCCTCTAGTGCCCAGGAATATTCCTAGGCCAGCTTGTCCTCCTCACACCCACCCCAATTCTTCTTTTCCTTTCTAATGAGTTCTTCTCCCTTTAAGATTCACTTTACTCATTGCCTTTGGTATGGGACTCACCCTAATTGCCCCTAGTCTAGCTGGGCCAAGCTTCCTGACTCCTCTGTACATGTCTCTAGTGGTTAGGCTTGTCCATACTGGTTGGGAATTTAAAGCTTTTTTAAATGGTCAGGTAGCCATAATTGAACTGTTTAAGACTTAGTTATGAAGAGAAACAGTAGCTAATAGCTATTAAATGCTCAGCAGGGGCCCAGGCACTATGCTCAACCCTTTTACATGGATGCCATTCCATTCTCCCAATAATCCTATAGGGTAGGCACTCTTATTATGCCTATTTTACCAATGAGGAAACTGAGGCTTGAAAAAGATAAGTAATACACCCAAAGTCATGATGCAAGTAATTAGCAAAGACAGAAATCACTTCAGCTCAGGTCTTTCTGCCTTCAGTCTGTTTCCTTAATCACTGTGGTGCACTTCTTTTCCTTAGGGTCTTATTCTGTGCTTAAGACCTAAAATTCCTTTGAGTTGTAAATTTGAAATTTATAAGAAGGATTTATGAGAAGAAAACTTCATTTTCTTTGTAAAACAATGAATCCATTTTTCTTAGCAAACGTTTAGCCATTATACAATGAATTGTCGGCATACACCACCAATATTCATTTACATCTATGGAAATCAACATGATTATGTTTTAACACCCACAATGCAAACATTATGGCCTGATATTACAGTAAGTCGATAGTAAAGTACTCAAAATAATTTGACTTAAACTCTAAAGCAGAGTGTTCGGAGCCAACCAATAATTCAGATAATCCACTCAAGTCAAGGCAATTATGCATTTAAAGGTTCTATGTGAAGAAAACGTTTTTAATTCAAAAATCAAGTTGTCTTTCAAATGTCGTTAAACATATTTGTTATATTTATACATATATTACATGTATAATATATTTCTGACCCCTTTGAAAAGCATAGAGACATGACAGATTGAGAAAATTCCGAAGAGTAAAGAAGTCATTAAGGAAGTGAATTTGTAGTTTTTTGAGGCAGCCTTCTGGGAATCAAATAGAAATGGAATAGGATCCTAGTCCAACACCCTCTAGCTGTGAGACCTTGCACAAACCACTTGACCTCTTTGTGTCTTAATTTCTCCATCTGTAAAAATGGTTTCTGGAAAGAATTAAATGTAATTATGTATGTGAAAGTGCCTTTCACAGTGTTTGGTATATGGTTGACTATTTTTTTAATGTTAATTCCTTTCCTTTGAAAGTTTTACATATAATTGTTGAACCCCAACTAATATTCTAGACATGGTTCATTCTCTGTGAATACATAGATTGAAGATAGAATTTGGCCTCCAAAATGGTCCACAGTTTAGTGGGTAAGAATGATCAGAAAACCAACTAATAAAACACAACATTAAATGTGTTGCCATAGAGATGACCACAGAGTGGAGGGAGGAATCAAGCTTGAGTCGGGGCCCTGAGGGAGGTCATATTAGAAGGAGACGCTTAAGATGAGTCTTAAAAGTTCAGAGGATTGGAGTTAGTTTGGGGAGGCCAATCCAAGTTTGTGAATACTCATGGAGATTAGAAGCAAGTTTTCTTTACTTATGTTTTTTCATTTAAACCTCACAACAACCCTTGAAGTTACATGTAACTGTTCTTACCTTCCAGACAATGAAAAGGCAGGACTTAAAGAGTAATTATTAATTTTTATACATATGAATAACAGAAAATAAATAAAGCTGACAATAATATGCTACCATGAGTCAAAGACAGCAAAAGATGATGGCTGACTAAGACCAGCTGGTCCAGAATCTCGACATAAGTGAAGGAAGAAACTAAAATAATTTTAGTTTCAACTCTAGACTCAGTCTAGATTTCTAAAGAGAGCAAAATCCTATTGGAAGTCCTTAGAGTAGTGAAAAATTTGGGAATAAATAAGAAAATCTCCTATTCTTACACTATCCCATATCTGTTTTCCCTGGTTCAATTCAATCCGAGAGAGAAGGCAGGCACTCACAAGAGGCCGCTGAACAAACAGGGACTACCCAGTTTCAGTACAGCACATATTAAATAAGAGAACAAACTCAAACACACAGGGCTGACAATACCAAGTGATGCAAATCAGTCTGCTTTATGTTATCATGCTGAAAGACTAATATTACCCATTCGTTAGGAAACAAAAGCCAGGGTAAGTGAGCAAACCAGTCAATCCTTAGATTTTCTAACCTTCCAGGAAAGAGTTACAAATGTCAACATTGACTCACCAGGGCTAGTTGCTATTCAAAAAGAAAGTCCTGTTTTTCCCACTAAGGTTTTTGTTCAAGTTATGACAATATTCCCTGTAGAACATCAGTTTCTGCAGTTAGACTCATGATCTTAGTTGATGCAAATAATATTTTTCCACTTTTAAGAAATCAAAGACATCTATCTATCTATCTATCTATCTATCTATCTATCTATCTATCTATCTATGTTTGATTTTCTAAAGAAGTATAGTATGTTTTACTTCTTGGAATGTCGGCTAAGATTTTTTAGGTTTAGATTAAAATGCAAGGAGGTTTATCAGCTCATATAACTGAGATAGGCCTTGCTTCAGGAATGCCTTAATTGGGGGTTCCAATTATATCACGAGACCCTGGCTTTCCTGTCTCTCAGTTTTTCTCTCTTCCATGTTGGCTCCTTTCCTATGTTGTGGTTGCAAGACGGCTTCCACAGCCCCAGAGCTAACATCTTTCACCTTCACATCCAGCAGAAAAGCACAAGCCTTTTCTCCAACAGCACCTACATTTTAAAGCCCAGAGATGCAGTACAATTGGTATAGCTTCGAACTGCACCCATCCTGAATAAACCAACCATCATGGCCACTGGGATGCAAAATGTTGCTAACCCAGGGAAAGGAAAGGGAAACAATGAATGTCCAGTGCTCTTGTTCATGAAATATTGTTCAAGAGTTCCCCCAAAGGACAGAGGGAGAGGATAAAAGCAAATTAAACTGATCTTCAAGAAATGTTAGGTGAGAAAGAGTTCACTATTCCTGTAGATGTTGACTTATAGCAGTCACGTGACTTCAACAGAAAGTTTTATTTTCTATCTTTCTTGTTTTCTCCAATGCCACTTTTTCTTGGTTCCCTTGTTCTCTAATCACTTCTCAGAATCCTTCACAAGCTTTTTCCCTCCCACCTGTTCCCTTGAGTGTAAGTGTGTTCTTTCAGGGTTCTACCCTTGAGATTCTTTTATCACTGTGTGTGTGTGTGTGTGTGCATGTGTGTGTGTGTCTGTCTGAATGAGTCCATCTACTCCCATGACTTCAAACATTACTCAAATCCATATTTCAAATTCAGACCCCTCTTTGGTAATCCTAAAGACCACCCCTTTCTGGCACTTAAGTGACAATCACTCATTCATTCATTCACCTAGTGTTTATCAAGCAACTGTGATATGCCATTCACTACTTGATATGCTAGGATGACAACAAAGCAAACTCAAGAAGTCATTCCTGACCTCATGGGCTGGTCATGCTGGCATGAAAGGCTGGCACCATCAGACACTTGGTTGCAAATTTACAGTCAATGACCACAAACAGCAACCAACTTCTACACCATCCCCCTTTCCCAACCCCACTATAGCAACTAGATGTGCCTAGCTTCCAGAGATCTCTACAAGCTTTGATTTGTCCGTTGACATCTCTTCCTCATGATGCTGGTTAGTGCCTCTTCTTTGATCCTCTAATTCCCTTACACAAACTTTAATGCCCAGCTCTTTCTGCATTGGGGAAATTCCAATTTCTATAATACATTCCTTAATCTGTATTATTCATACAGTGTTCTGCTTCCTTATTTGAACCCTGACTGAAAATTGCAGTCCTTGTGCTGAGTCTGTAACCCAAGGGTTTTATATATTAATAGCATGTTTTACATCTCCCACTATACGTTCTGTAGAAAGGACAAGAGATTGCTCAAACAAAGGAAGAGAAACTTGACCATACACCCTTATTACCTCAACTAATTTTGAACATGGCCTGCATAGTATGACACCTACTAGGACTTAAAGTACCAGTATTGGTCATGAAAATCCTTCACATTTACAGTGTTTCATAATTTTTAAATGCTTTCATATATATCAATTAATCTTCACAACTGCTACAAGTGATTGTTTATTGCTACGCACTGTATTCACTGCACTAGATCAGACACTATATATAAGCATATAAGACCTTCACCATGTAATGAAATAAAAATATAAATTTTCTTAACACTGACCACCAAGGTGTCTTTTAAGACAGAAATTACTTGGGGGCAGGAGGTATATTGATAAACAATTTATTTTATTTTATTTTACTTTAAGTTCTGGGATACATGTGCTGAATATGCAGGTTTGTTACGTAGGTATACATGTGCCATGGTGGTTTGCTGCACCTATCAACTCATCATCTAGGTTTTAAGCCCTGCATGCATAAGGTATTTGTCCTAATGCTCTCTCTCCCCCCAAAAATTCTTTTTTATGGCTGCATAGTATTCCATGGTGTATATGTGCCACATTTTCTTTATCCAGTCTATAATTGACGGGTATTTGGGTAGGTTCCAAGTCCTTGATATTGTAAATAGTGCTGCAATAAACATATGTGTGCATAGGTCTTTATAGTAGAATTATTTATAATCCTTTGGGTATGTACCCAGTAATGGGATTGCTGGGTTAAATGGTACTTCTGGTTCTATATCCTTGAGGAATTGCCACACTGTCTTCCACAATGGCTGAACTAATTTACACTCCTACCAACAGTGTAAAAGCATTCCTATTTCTCCACATCCTCCCCATCATCTGTTGTCTCCTGACTTTTTAATGATCACCATTCTAACTGGTGTGAGATGGTATCCCATTGCAGTTTTGATTTGCATGTTGCTAATGACCAGTGATGATGAGCTGTTTTTCATATGTTTGTTGGCCACATAGATGTCTTCTTTTGAGAAGTGTCTGTTCATGTCCTTTGCCCACTTTTTGATGGGGTTGTTTGTTTTTTTCTTGTAAATTTGTTTATGTTCCATGTAGATTCTGGATATTAGCCCTTTGTCAAATGAATAGATTGCAAAAATTTTCTCCCATTCTACCCAACAGGTAGGTTGCCTGTTCACTCTGATGATCGGTTCTTTTGCTGTGCAGAAGCTCTTTAGTTTATTTAGATCCCATTTGTCAATGTTGGCTTTTGTTGCCATTGCTTTTGGTGTTTTAATCATGAAGTCTTTGCCCATGCCCATGTCCTGAATAGTATTACCTAGGTTTTCTTCCAGGATTTTTTTAATGTTTTAGGTCTTACGTTTAAGTCTTTAATCCATCTTGAGTTAATTTTTGTATAAGGTGTAAGGAAGGGGTCCAGTTTCTGTTTTCTGCATATGGCTAGCCAGTTTTCCCAGCACCATTTATTAAATAGGGAATGCTTTCTCCATTGCTTGTTTTTGTCAGGTTTGTCAAAGATCAGATGGTTGTAGGTGTGTGGTGTTATTTCTAAGGCCTCTGTTCTGTTCCGTTGGTCTATATATCTGTTTTGGTACCAATATCATGCTGTTTTCGTTACTGTAGCCTTATAGTACAGTTTGAAGTTAGGTAGCATGATGCCTCCAGCTTTGTTCTTTTTGCTTAGGATTGTCCTGGTTATACATGCTCTTTTTTGTTCTATTTGAAATTTAAAGTAGTTTTTTTCTAATTCTGTGAAGAAAGTCAATGGCAGCTTGATAGGAACAGCATTAAATCTAAACATTACTTTGGACAGTATGGGCATTTTAATGATATTGATTCTTCCTATCCATGAGCATGGAATTTTTTTCCATCCGTTTATTTCCTCTCTTATTTCCTTGAGCAGAGGTTTGTAGTTCTCCTTGAAGAGGTCCTTCATGTCCCTTGTAAGTTGTATCCCTAAGTATTTTATTTTACTTGTAGCAATTGTGAATGGGACTTCACTCATGATTTGGCTCTCTGCTTGTCTACATTTGGTGTATAGGAACGCTTGCGATTTTTGCACATTGATTTTGTATTCTGAGACTTTGCTGAAGTTGAAGTTTTTAAAGTAAACTTTCACTCCTGCTTTAAAACTTGCCTCATTCTCCCCTACCTTATGCCCCTCAGTCAAATTCTTGCCCCATGATCTCAGCCCAAAAACTCCTTAAGGTGATAAACAACTTTGTCCACTTTTTAATGGGTTTTTTTTTTCTTGTAAATTTGTTTAAGTTCTTCATACATTCTAGATGTTAGGCCTTTGTCAAATGGATAGATTGAAAATTTTTCTCCCACTCGGTAGGTTGTCTGTTTGCTCTGATGACAGTTTATTTTGTTGTGCAGAAGCTCTTTAGTTTAATTAGATACCATTTGTCAATTTTTGCTTTTGTTGCAGTTGCTTTTGGTGATTTTGTCATGAATTATTTGCCCATGCGTATGTCCTGAATGGTATTCCCTAGATTTTCTTCTAGGGTTTTTATAGTTTTGAGATTTACATTTAAGTCTTTAATCCATCTTGAGTTAATTTTTGTATAAGGTGTAAGAAATGAGTCCAGTTTCAATTTTCTGCATATGGCTAGCCACTTTTTCCAGCACCATTTATTAAATAGGGGATCCTTTCCCGGTTGCTTGTTTTTGTCAGGTTAGTCAAAGATCAGGTAACAAACCTGCACATTCAGCACATGTATCCCAGAACTTAAAGTGAAATATAATTTTTTGAAAATCAATGTTCATCAGGGATATTGGCCTGAAGTTTGCTCTTTTTTTGTTGCATCTTTGCCAGGTTTTGGTATCAGGATGATGCTGGCCTCTGAAGGCATCACATTACCTCACTTCAAACTACACTACGAGGCTACAGTAACCAAAACAGCATAGTGCTGGTACAAAAACAGACACATAGACCAGTGAAACAGAATAGAGAACTCAGGAATAAGATAGCACATCTACAACCATCTATGTAGCCATAAAAAGGAACAATATCATGTCCTTTACAGGGACATGGATGGAGCTGGAAACCATTATCCTCAAACTAATACGGGAACAGAAAACAAAACACTGCGTGTCCTCACTTATAAGTGGGAGCTGAGCAATGAGAATACATGGACACAGGAAGGGGAACAACACAAACTGGGGCCTGCTGGGGGATTGTGTGGGGAAGGGAGACCATCAGGAAAAATAGCTAACGCATTCTGGGCTGAATACCTAGGTGATGGTTTGATAGGTACAGGAAATCACCATGGCACACGTTTACCTCTGTAACAAACCTGCACATCCTGCACGAGTACCCCATAACTTAAAATAGAAATTAAAAATTTTTTTAAATTATAAATGTTTCATGCATCCTTCAAAAAATATGTATTCTGTAAGTGTTTTATGCAAGATTCTATTTATATATTCATTATATCAACTTTTATTATCGTATTGTCAAGCTTTCTGTTCTCCTACTAATTTTTATCATACAGAATATGTGGGCCGGGCATGATGGCTCACACCTGTAATCCCAGCACTTTGGGAGGCTAAAGAGGAAAAATCACGAGGTCAAGAGATTGAGACCATCCTGGCCAACATGGTGAAATCCCGTCTCTCCTAAAAATACAAAAAATTAGCTGGGTGGGGTGGTGCATGCCTGTAGTCCCAGCTACTCGGGAGGCTGAGGCAGGGGGATCACTTGAACCCAGGAGGCAGAGGTTGTAGTAAGCCAAGATCGCACCACTGCACTCCAGTCTGGCGACAGAGCAACACTCCGTCTCAACAAACAAAAACAAAAACAAAAAAATGTGTGTGTGTATGTATGCATAATTAAATGAATGGCGTGTTAAAATCTCCCATTTAAATTTTAGATTTGTTTATTTCTCCTTGAAATTATCCATTTATTCCTCTATATATTTTTGAGAACTATTTTCCTAGGAGTATACAAGTTCATTATTATATACACTGTTAGTGAATTGTTTTCTATTTAATAATACTATTTCTTTTTCTTTCTTTTTAAAAATTACTTATCGTTTGTTTTAAGGACCATTTAGTCTAAAATTAATATGTTAAACCACCCATATTTTGATTTAAACTTGCCTAGTACATTTTTTCTATCCCGTTACTTCAAAAGTTTCTGCTTAAATATGTCATTATTATATCTATTATAAAGAATATATGGCCGGGCGCGATGGCTCACGCCTGTAATCCCAGCACTTTGGGAGGCCGAGGCGGGTGGATCACGAGGTCAGGAGATCGACACCATCCTGGCTAACACGGTGAAACCCCGTCTCTACTAAAAATACAAAAAAAATTAGCCGGGCATGGTGGCAGGTGCCTGTAGTCCCAGCTACTCGGGAGGCTGAGGCAGGAGAATGGCGTGAACCCGGGAGGTGGAGCTTGCAGCGAGCCAAGATCCCGCCACTGCACTCCAGCCTGGGCGAAAGAGCGAGACTCTGTCTCAAAAAAAAAAAAAAAAAAAAAAAAAAAAAAAAAATATATATATATATATATATATATATACACACACACACACACACACACACACACACACACGTATATATACACACATATATATACACATATATATACATATATATACACATATATATATATAACTAAACTTATTGTAGTAGTTGTAGTTTTTGCTTTTTAAATCCAATTTAGAGATTCTGGGAGGATCGTGATGATAGTGACAGTATACTTTCCAATCTTTTTGAATCCTCACTTTAAAATAGATAGAGCAATTAAATAGCAAAACCAAAAGTCTAGGAGCAATGTTTACAACAAAACTAGGCAACAAGGTATGTGCCCTGATACAAACAAATGGAAACAAACCACCAAGAGCCCCAGGACCCACATGGTATTGGCATCTGTGAAGGAGAAAGTAGAGGAAATCAAATGGTGCCATGTCTAAAGGTGAATGGATCCCCGTAATAGCCAACAGTTATTTACTGAAAACCACAGTGGGCCAATTTGAGAACACCTAAGAAACTGAAAATAGATTTTTCTCTCCTAATACCAAGTGAGTTGAAAGAGCATGAAGTAAGGATTAAAGGGGTTGGAGCAGCTTAACTGTTGTGAAATCTCAAAACTGAAATGGGTTCCTTTCTAATACAGGAAACACCTATGGAGAAACCACTAGAAATAGAATAAAAAATGAACAAGTTGGGGAAAACAGAGCCTAAAACAGAAGATTCTTGGTTGGGGAAGATAACCAAGAAATATCAAGAAACAAGCAATTATATATTTTTAACATTACATAAAATTTACACTCCTACAAGCAGTGTATAGACATTCCCTTTTTCTCCACAACCTCACCAGCATCTGTTATTTTTTGACTTTTAATAATAGCTATTCTGACTGTGTGAGATAGTGTCTCATTGTGGTTTTGACTGGATAAAAAAATGCAGTACATATACACCATGAAATATTATACAGCCATAAAAAAGAATTAGATCATGTCCTTTGCATTTGCTAAGGCCATTATCCTTAGCAAACTAATGCAGGAACAGAAAACCAAATACTGCATATTCTCACTTAAAAGTGGAAACTACATGATGAGAACACATGGACACATAGAGGGAAACAACACACACTGGAGCCTTTCAAAGGGCGGAGGTGGGAGGAGGGAGAAGATCAGAAAAATAACTAATGGGTACTCAACTTAATACCTGGGTAATGAAATAATCTGTATAACAAACCCCTATGATGCAATGACACAAATTTACCTTAACAAACTTGCACATATACCCCTGAATATAAAATAAAGTTAAAAAAAGAAATGAGCCAATAAGGAGCTCAATATTATTTTCAGAGATGATTAAAGCATGCTTAAAAAGTTATACCCACAAAACAAAACAAAATACAACTTCCGTTTCAAAATCAACTCAAAGACATTAAAGTATACAAGACATGAAGAAGCAATAAAAATCAGAATTTTTAAATCTGAGAACTGAAGTGATAGAAAATAATTAGAAATAAAAGAACATATCATTTTGAAAATGAAGACTAAACTAGGATACAGTGTGGAAAACACATAGTTAAGGGAAACAGAAGGCAGAAAGGAACATTTCTTAAAGTCAAAGGAGAATAATGAGGTAAAGGGGTTCAAGAGAAAGTAACAAATACAAAAATAGCAAAGAATATCTAATATAGAGATACTAGGAGTCCCTGAAGAAAAAAACAAAGCAAGAAGAGAACAAAATTATAATTAAAGAAAACTTTCCTGATATTTAAAAAAAGATTTAAAGCAACATATTGAAACAACATACTGACTACCTGAGACTATTGACCCAGAATGACCAATATCAAAAAAAATTCTAATAAAATTAATAAAGATTTTTTTAAAATCCTATGGTCATCTAGAAAAGAAAAGTCACGTGACTTATAAAGAAAATAAAATTAGATTTCCACCAGACTTTTAACAGCAACACGTTATTTCTGAAGAAAATAGAGTAGCATCAGTAAGCTGTTTAAAACAAGAAAGTATAAGCTCAGAGTTTTATATTTATTAAAACAGACTTTAGAGAATAAAAGATACACACAAACTTTCATCAACATTCAAGACTACATGGAATATTATCCCAGTGAGCCCTTCCTGAGGACTTTACTAGGTAACTAAGTTTTAAACAATCAAAATAGAGAACTAAGTCTAAATAATAGCTTAAGAAGAGAGTAGAGCAGCCAATGGATGAATGCTGTGATCATATAGATATCGTAAACTGCCCTAAAAAAGTGATCAGAATAAAAATAGATATGTCAGCTAACAAAAATCTTCAGCAAATGCATAATTAATAATGAAGCATTCAATTTAAAGGAATAAACAAGTCAAAGACACCCCATCACCACATCACCATTATACCAGTGGTCCAAGCCAACACAATAGGGCAAAGATATTATATTGAATTATAACATCTTGTTTTTTGATTTATATATATATGTTTTAAAAATATATAGAGAAATCAAAAAATAAGAATAAAATATTATAATTCAGATATGATAGTCCAAGAGACTATACAAACCATTAGAACTAACGAAGATCCAAAAAAGTCCTGTATATAAGATCAATGACCAAAAACCTTGTCTCTATATATCAATAAAAACAATCAGAATATGTATTCTTTCAGGGTACCTTTGCAAATAGCATCAAAACCTATATGATACTTAGGAACAAATATAACTGAAGTTTTGCAAGATTTTAATGAAGAAAAAATCAAAATACACAAAAGGGGATTGAAATAAGTGGAGAATTATACTATGTTCATGGATGGGAAGATTCAACACCATAAAGATATCAGTCCTCGTCAAATTTATCTGTCAATTTAACATAATTTTAAGTTGAACCCCACTAATATGCTGATCATAAAATTCACATAAGAGAAAAAATGGCCAAGCAATTTTTAAAAACAAGGTGGTGTTCTTGCCCTACAAGACATAGAAAGTTGTGGTAATTAAGATAAGTTGTTCTTGGTACATGGATAGGCAAACAGACCAATTGAATAGGGCAAAGAACCTAGAAACAGAACCACATAACGGAAAATTTAAAGCCTAAGCCATAATTATATTTTAGTAGATTTTGTTTTAGTGAATTCAATAGTTTGTCAGGGCTCAGATTTCACTACATTAAGACTCTGAACTGAAATTGGATTATAACAAGAACAGTTCTCCTAGAGTCAATTTGTTGTCTTACCTTTGTTTTTTCTTGAGACAGAGTTTCATTCTTGTTGCCCAGGCTGGAATGCAATGATGCAATCTTGGCTCACTGCAACTTCTGCCTCCCTGGTTGAAGCAATTCTCCTGCCTCAGCCTCCCGAGTAGCTGGTATTACAGGTGCCCATGACCATGCTTGGCTAATTTTCGTATTTTTAGTAGAGACAGGGTTTCACCAAATTTGCCAGGCTGGTCTTGAACTCCTGGCCTCAGGTGATCCACCTGCCTCGGCCTCCCAAAGTGCTGGGATTACAGGCATAAGCCACCATGCCTGGCCATCTTACCTTAACTTTAAATCTCAGGATGTTCAGTTTTTATATAGGTTTTTGTTTAACTATTCGTAAGACAGTGTGAGAAAACCTTGGCATAGCAGGTGGGAAATGTCAATGTCGGTGTTGCCTTTTGTCAGTGGTTCATTGTGAAGCACTTTAAAAATTCACACATACCCCTCTACCTCATGGTCATAAGTAATAATAATAACTGTTATTGGAGACTTTCTCATGCTCCGGACACTGTACCAAACACCTTGCAGTACATGGACTGTAGGCATTAATTCTGGAAACAACCATATAGGCAGGTACAATTCGTTTAATGTCTGGCACATTCCAGTTTAGAACAGTTAAATAACTTTATCCAAGGTTCAGGTCAATCAGATAGTTAAAAAAATGGAGCTATTTGTATCTATTGAATAGCAGCTCCTGAGCTCTTAAAAGCTACTCCACAATGTCTCTCTATAAAATATTGTCATTAACCTGTTTGAAATTGAACTAGTACATTTTCAGCCTTAAAATAGAAGAAAAAAAAATTGTACAATCTGAATTAATTGAAACCAACTAATGATATCTCCCAGAAACATCTTTATAAAATAAATTGGCTTCTTTATAATTTAGTCTGCTAAAAAGAAATAGACAGGGGACCAGTAGGTATTTCTAAAAAACAACAAATTTGAAATGTGTGAGAAACTTGGAGAGAAAGCTGTTTCCTGAAACAAGAATAAACTCCTAATGCCCTGTTTTTGGAGGTCTTGCGCTGACACATGATGAAGCTCTTTTTAATTAACTGGATAGGAATTTAATATCTTCACATATGCAAGGCAAGTCGACTTGCCCAGGCAACAAGATACACCAAGCTTTGTATATTAGTTCTGCTCTTTTGGCTTCCAAGTGAACCTTCTAAGTCATGGGCATTAAGGCTGGGTCTTAAGTAATGGTTTTGTACTCAAGTGTTTCTTGGGAAAACTAGGATATGCTAACTAGTGGCAAAGAGTACAAAGTGACCTAGCAAATTAAAAATTATTAACAACAAGAATAAACCACAAGAGCCCAAGTTAAAACATCCAGAAGATTAATTTGCTGAATATCATGTTGTTTTCACTGAATGTGGCCAAAAAGATCTTCAGAGCGATGGCAAAATAGGAAACTGACAATTAGGCATACCATGCAAATGCATATCTGTTTTTGCATAGTTTATCCAGAAACCATTTCCAAGATGCCTGAAATGTGAGTTTTGCCACTTTAATATAGTTGTAAGTGTGAAGGTATATTTTGAGACTCAGGGATATTTCTAAACTCTGATTTAGGATTTGTGGCTTTCTTAGTTGTCCCCTGAGTAGTCATGTTACCAAAACTGAGAACAGTTTTTCTATTATTTTTTTCTGATATTTTTATCCTAATATTTTGCACTTAGGATAAATATAACACCTCCTGCAAAATTTCTTAGTTGTATTGGTTATGCTAAAAATTGTTCAAAATTTTTCTTGACATTTTATTAGTGTTATTTCATCTGAGTACACAAACTTTGGGTCTCTTTATGAGATTAAACACCCTAAGAGCAATTGGTATAATTCCTATTTATTTATAAATTTCCCCCATCAAAATTAATGTATGGGGCCAGATGCAGTGGCTCATGCCTGAAATCCCAGCACTTTGAAAAGCCAAGGCAAGTGGATCCCTTGAGTGCAGGAGTTTGAGACCAGCCTGGGCAATACAGTGAAGCCCCATCTCTACAAAAAAAAATGTATATATACAAAAATTAGCTGGGCTATGTGGTATATGCCTGTAGTCCCAGCTACTGGTGAGGCTAAGGCAGGAGGATCACCTGACCCAGGGAGGTGAAAGTTGCAGTGAGCCGAGATCGTGCCACTGCACACCAGCTGGGTGACAATGAGACTCTTTCAAAAAAAAAAAAAAAAAAAAAAGTATGGTTCTTGTTGCAAAAATACTTCAGGGCAGGAACTATTTTTCTGTTTGTATTTCCGTCTTCCATAATACTTAACATAGATTATTTCCCAGAGAAGACACTCTGTAAATTATTCTTCGAGTGGAATTTAATTTGTTTAATTACATTTTTAAAAAATATTTAACTTAATTATATATATCTCATTTTATAATTTTCATTTCCCCTTATTCAACAAATATTTATTGAGCCTGTACTTTGTTTCAGAAATATCTTAACATTGTATTTCTTTTGAAACAATTTTTATGACCAAATGACAAAGAATAAAATAATAGAATTTTACCATTAGAAGGAAAGTTGAGGATTACTATTCAACACATTAATTTTAGAGAAGATGAAGAAATTTTGCTAGGGTTTGAAAAAGTAAGTTTGCAAGAGCAAATAGCTGAGCTGAAGGGAAAATAGCTGGTTGGTGCAGAAGGGAATTAACACTAACAGCCAGAACTGTTGATTTTGCTGCCAGGACTTGCTCTGTCATGAGTTATTTTTAAAAATTTTAAGTATGGTTATAGATATGAAGTTCACAAGAATATGTCACGGTTTGTACCTGGAAATGGTTACTAGTCACTACTTATCATAATAGTGCTACTTTAATTAAGAGAAATAAATCTGTATAAAAAATGTTCAAGATCACAGTCAAGAAACTTACAATTATTTGTACCTTTCAATTCAATAATTCTATTTTAGGGAACTTATCCTAAGGGAACAGTCAGAGATATACACATAAAGGTTTGTATTGCTGGCTTTTAATCAAAATGTCCAATCATAAATTATGATACACCTCTATGGTGGAATTATATGCAGTTTCAAAGGATGTGTAATTATGTGTCAAAATATACTTAGTATAATGTTAAGTTTTAAAAGGTACATTGCATACGGTTTAATTCCAGTTTTGTAAATTGAAATCGGATGTGTGCAACAGTGCATTCCAACCTGAGGAAAGCAAACACATTTATAACTCTAGTTATTTCTGAGTATTACAATGATCAGTACTTTTATTTTCTTCTTTTTATTAATTTTTTGTATACCCAACTTTATAAAATAAACATATATGCATGTATAATAAGGGAAGAGAAAAGGAACATTATCTTTAAAAGAATACCTTCTATTAAAACAACAGATGCTGGAGAGGATGTGGAGAAATAGGAACGCTTTTACACTGTTGGTGGGAGTGTAAATTAGTTCAACCATTGTGGAAGACAGTGTGGCGATTCATCAAGGATATAGAACTAGAATTACCATTTGACCCAGCAATCCCATTACTGGGTATATACCCAAAGGATTATAAATCATGCTACTATGAAGACACATGCACACGTATGTTTATTGCAGCACTATTCACAATAGCAAAGACTCGGAACCAACCCAAATGTCCATCAATGATAGACTGGATTAAGAAAATGTGGCACATATACACCATGGAATACTATGCAGCCATAAAAAGGATGAGTTCATGTCCTTTGTAGGGATACGGATGAAGCTGGAAACCATCATTCTCAGCAAGATATCACAAGGACAGAAAACCAAATACCGCATGTTCTCACTCACAGGTGGGAATTGAACAATGAGATCACTTGGACACGGTGGGGGAATATCACACACCAGGGTCTATTGGGGTGTGGGGGCCTGGGGGAGGGATAGCATTAGGAGAAATACCTAAGGTAAATGATGAGTTGATGGGTGCAGCAAACCAACATGGCACACGTACATCTATGTATCAAATCTGCATGTTGTGCCCATGTACCCTAGAACTTAGAGTATAATAAAAAATAAAAATAAAAAAGAATACCTTCTATTTGAGGTAGGAGCAGCAAATGGCCAAGCTAAACAGTCACCTACAAAAAAAAAGTTTGATTTCAGTGAAGCCATAAACCACTACCCCCAAATCCCTGCATTTTAAACATTTAGTGATCATTTCACTACTGGACTTCCATTGTTATCTTTCCTATCTGAACTTTCCTGTCAGGTGAGGAAGGAGTACCCATGAGCCCTGAATGCTCCAAGGAGATAGTGGTCCTGGCAGCCTGGTCACCGGTGGGATAGAGCCCTACATGCTCCTGGCAAGGAACTCCTCTGCTCTCCTTCCACACGTGCTCAGCCTTATCACCCTAACCTGCATTTGATACCATAAGGTGAATCCCACCATGCCCCTGCATCCTACCATGCTTCTGATCTCAAGTCGTCCCATATAATCTGGACTCTCATATGTAACTGATCCAGTCTGTCACACTCCTTCCAAATCCTTCCACTGCAGCCTAGGAAAGGCTGCTTGGTTAGCAGCAAATATCCTACATCATCAACCATCTTGCTTCATCAATATATACACCACCAATCATCAATGATTCCCTTCACTTATGTGCTTTAACTGGAACCTGGCTGATGTCTGGGACCACTCTCAGTAGTTCTTAGTAGAGAATGGCTGTTTTCTCTTCCATCCTCTACCATTGGACCTGAAATGTAAGTTACATTTCCTCTCTGTTTTTTACCATGACTTACAAAATATTGTCCTCCTCCTCTTCTTTTCTTTTCCTGTGAAGTTCATGCCATCAGAACACATCCTATCTTGGACATATATTTACTTACTGCCTTGCATTGTCAGCATCCAACCTGAGAAAGTAACAATGCTTCTAAAATGTGTATCAAGAGCTTACTCCTCCACTTAGGAGGATTCTAAGTGGAGCCTCCTCCACTTAGAAGATTAGCCTGGTTTCAGGTCATAGAGCAGTACTGTGGCTGTAAAACAAATTCTGTCATTGGTACGTATTGTAAAATGAAATAAATATTCTCCCTAAGCACTGTTGAGATGGTTAGAAGAGAAAGAGGTTTAATTCAGAGTGGGCTGCTCATTTGACTGCTCTGTCCCAGGGGATTAAGAAAAGAAACGAGCCGTCAACCAAGTAGGACAACTTCTGATGAGCCAAAGACCCCTATGGACCTTGGCATCTGCAGTGCCCTCCACAGTCCAGGCACATGATAGGTCCCCTATAAATATTTATTTGCTAGCTTATTAATGGACTTTAATGCCATGCCACACATTCCAAACTAGTTTAGCCTATAAATTCCTCCAACCTGACATTGCCCATTCAACAAATAATAAGTTAGCAAGTTATTTTATCTTTCGGCTTGAGTGGTTTACTGAAAGACTGGAATTTGTAGGGCCTGTACCATAGAAGAATACAAAACAGGTGTAACAAGTGCTAAAAAATAATTATGTTTATTTATAACTCCAAAAGTAAATTCTAGAGCTGGAACACACTCCAGTCATATATGGCACTTTTATTTGAGTGGATGATCATTTTTACATCTTCTGGTTTCTCCTCTTTTCCTTTATTTATCTAGCTGCCTATGAGAATGGCCCCAAGCAACATTATCACTCATTCTGTCTTAGTCAGTTTAGACTCCTATAGCAAAGTGCTATATAGAGTGGGTGGCTTCTTAACAATAGAAATTCATTTCTCACAGTTCTGGAGGATGAAAGTGTCTGATATCAAAATGCCAGCATGGTCGGGTTCTAATAAAGACTCTCTTCTAGGTTGCAGACTGCCAACTCCACATTGTATCCTCGCATGGCAGAGAGAGGGCTAGAGGGTCTCTTTTATAAGGGCACAATCTCTTTCATAAGGGCTCCACCCTCATGAACTAATCACACCCCCAAGGTCCCACCCCCTAATACCATCATATTAGGGATTAGAATTTCAACATAAGAATGTTGGAGGGGCACAGACATTCAGTCCATAACACATTACATGCAGTTCTTGGTTTCTTTCAGCAAGTATTTATCAAATGTCTTCTATATGCTGCGTACTGTGGTAGGTGCTGGAGATGCAACAATAACCAAGACTGATCATGTCCCTGACTTGCCTTCCTTCTACGGAAATTATAGAAAACTGCTTTACCTATTTTAAATCTATTTCATTCTGTTTTATTATAATAGAATTAGAATTGTGTAATAAAATAAAAATAATATTTTAATAGCAATTTAAAATTATTAAATCAGTTTCACGTTCAGCTTTTCATTCGATGCTCAAAGAAGCTCCAAGGATAGAAAGAAGGACTAGTTCTAATGCTATTTTACAGGTGACAAAGACAAGATGCTGAAAATGTTCATGGCATTAGCAGGAGCCATTCCAAGGACTTCTAGAAACAGACTCACGTGGGTTGGGGGACCTGGAAACTGTCAGGGAGAGAAGGCAGGAGTCAGCATCTCGTGGTAAAATAGAGTTCAGACACACTGCTCATGATTGCTTTGGAAATTTCTTAGGCTGTTTTGTTTTGTTTTGTTTTGTTTTGTTTTGTTTTGTTTGCAATGGGCACATACTGTTGCAATAACTATTAACTGCCATCTTGAATCTTTTGTCTAGGGGTGTGTTGATCAAGTTCACCTTTGATGTTCTTCTTAAATGGATAACCTTCTCACAGGCATTTAGTGGGAAGGCCTCTTTCACAGCATAATCTACCCCTGGATTAGACACCCTTGCAAGGAGAGAACATGATCATTGCCTGTAAAAGTTTACCAGTGTCACCTGAGGTACTGTTTATGCTCTCTGAGGACAAGCAATGTGTCTTCTTTCTATTAGCCTCCTCAAATGCTTCTAAAAGCATTTTCTTAAAGTGTATTATTGAAGAGGTCTCTTTAATATCAAATTTTGATAGTCAAACTATAAGAAAAATTGTATTTGGAAATGATACCAGCACTCCAAGAACTAGATATCCAAAATAGAAGGAAAAGAGAAAGATACATAAAACAAAAGCCCAAGACTGGTTGTATTTATATCTGTATCTTTATTTTAGAAAGTGGATGGCCCAGCCCTGGACTTCCTAAATGATATCATTTAGGAAAATGTGTATAAACTCTGTTATCAGAGGAGTCAGAAATGGAAAACTGGAGAATACCTTTTATATTATTTGATCTGATCAGTCCCCTTTTTCTCTACAGTTAAAGTAGCTATATTTGTACCCCTTGTGGTTTCTAAATTCTGAAGAATTAAAAGAAATAGAAAAAAGCAAAGAAAAGGAGTGTCAACTTGGTCGAGGTAGGCATGTGTAAAAGTGAGAGCTATCTCTTCCATTTTTTTTTAACTGTATCTAAGGTTGTACAAAAACTCAAACTAGGCAGATGGAGCCCAGGCTAACCTTGAATATTTCTTGCTTAATTTGACTATTTAAACTTTTTAATTTGTTCCTTTCTGTTCTACATCTTTTTTAAAAAGTAGAGTATTTTTAGATTAAAGAAATAACATATTTTGTGAGCAGGTGGGGAGCTAGAAAATTCCAGTCACCAGGTGTCACACTATCAAACAGCACACCAGGTGTAAAAAGTGGAAAAATAACCTTCTAGGGTATCTGGGGAAAATTCCAAGAAAGGTCAGACAGTGATTATTTTAACCTATGGCAGGCATTTTGCTTTAAAACTTGACAACAAAAAAACTTTGAGTATTAGGAAGATATGTGCTAATTAGGCACAGCTTCCAAATCCGGAAACAAGCACACAGGGAGCAAAGCAGAAGCAGTGGGCACCTATTTTCACCGTCTCTTGCTTTGGCTCACATTATTCCTCAGCATGCCTGGCTGGTCCATTCTTCACCCCCTGTGTAAATCCTGCATGCCCTTCAGGTGTCAGATAAAAGGCCATCAATTCCAGGAAGCTTTCTCTGGTTCGAGTCAATTCAATAAATATTTATTGTTCACCAACACTGTGCCCGGAATTGAGGGATCAGCAGCAATGAAAAGAGACATTGGCCTCAAGTTGCTGAGGGTCTAATGGAAAGAGAGACCCTACATATCCGACAAATATTGATTGAGTGCTCAGTGTAGGCCAGGCACTATTCTAGTAATACCCAGTAATCTAGGTAAGCATCAAAGCTCAATTCTGAGAAAAACAGACAATTGTAACATATATGTATACATACATATACATATGTAATATGTATAAATGTGAAATTACACAAATTATATATGTATGTCAATTTGTGTAAATTATAAGCAGACAAATAGTATCACAATTGATTATAAATACAATTAGAATTAATAAAATAATAATAAACCTTTCAAAGTAATTAATTTGTAACTTACAAAACACTTCATATCAGTATCTTACTTGATACCCAGAACAGCCCCATGGGATGAGAAGGACACTTCGTTTCTCAGTGAAGGTGTTTTAGAGATGACAAAGCTGAGAAGGGAGCAAGTGGGGTAAACTTATAAACACATAAACTGGAAGGATAAATTTAAAAATCCAAGAAAGGAGTAACATCTAACAGGAAGAGAGGAAGTAGAATGGGATGGGAAATGGGAACAAATGTGACTTCAAATTTACCTTTGGTTTTCCAGTTCTTATATTTAAACAAAATCTGAAGCAGAGAAGGAAAAACATAAACTTTAGTTGTTATTGTGATGAATAAATAGTCCTTCCTATATTAGACTCTACTTTTCAAAATCGTATCAAAATAACAAAGAAGAAAAACATATAACAAAAAAGAAATTAATAGTATTTTGAAAATACACCTTCCTCTTTGTTTTTACAACATATTGTAAAAATCAAGAGTGATTATAGAATTGGAAGTTCTAGCCTGGCTGGTAGCAATAAGCATCTAATACACTGTCCTTTTTTTTTCTTTTCTTATTTCTTTCCTTTTCTCTGTCTCCTCTTCTTTATCCCCCTACACGCAATTAAATTATTGTTTTGTATAACAATTGGAGTAAGCTGTTTATACATCTTCTTCCATTAATAGATCATGAGCATCCTGAAGGCAGGGGTCCTGTCTCAGCCACATCTGTATATTCAGAGACTGGCACCATGCCTGGTTAATAGGTATGTGATTTGTGTTTGTTGCAAAACACACCTATGCAGAACACAAACAGGGGACTTAATCCTAAGCAGTATTAGCAGAGTCTGTTTTATTTTTCCCCGACAGTGACCTGTTTTTTCATTAGCATCCAGAAATGAATTAATAATTTTTCATTAAAAAAAAAACCGCCACCACTCAGGATCAAGCTCATGACGTCTTTAAAGTGTGACTGTTGAATCACAAATCCTCCTGAACTTGTAAGCAAGATTTGGTTGCATTATATACTTGGAGAAAATGAGGACTTGGTATTGATTTTTCCCCGATTCAAAGAGAGTGCAGGTGTTTAAGCACTTATGAAATTGATTGACTCCCCTCTAGAAGGCAATTGATAATAAGTTTAAGCTTTGGAGTGAGGCTGTAAAAGGTTTGATTATATTAACAATACTAATAGTCATGGGTTCATAAATCTTAAGAGAAAGCATGCATGTGTCACATATAATGCATGAAAAAGTTGTTCTTTTATCATGGATAACTCTCTTTTGTGTGGAGACCCAGTTGATCAGCTATTCCATTATTTGAATAAGTATCTGATGTCTTGTTTTCTTTCAAGAAGGCAGGTGCAGGATGAAGCAGGAAACCTGCCAAGAAAGATGATAAATTACCATTTGGTGCTAGCGACCAGAGCTCTACAAGTACAGGGCTGCCAGGAACTGTGAGGGAGAGTAACCACAAACAAGGAGGGAAATGACTTCTGATGACAACTTCAGAGATGTTTACTTTTTGTCTTCATTATCTTTGTAGTGTTTTAAGGATCTCTGTTCATTTTGTAACCTACAAAATGAAGTGCTATTTTAAAACAATCATATACTGGCTCAAAATATTCTATTACATCTGCTGAGGTCAAATTTAAAAATTAGAGTTTAGAGGGAGCTGTTCAGAGGAAGGAAGCGGATGACGTAAGTAGACAAATGACATAAAGCAGAGGTGAAATGTGGCTGCAGCTTCATTTGAGGGAGCACCTGGGCTCAACTCGGAGGAAGCACTCTGCCCCAGATCAATCGCATTGACAGGGCCATACTCATATTGTGTTTCATCCCCTAAAACTCAGAAGAATAAAAAGAATAACAACAGTCATGATCATAATAATGGTTTTTGGAACCAGTCTATTTCATTAATATCCCCTGCCTTCAGGTTGACTGTTCTGTTATCAATCACAAATTTATCAATCAGTGTTTAATATTCATCAGTGACTCTATTGGAATCACCACTGGCAATGGACTATTCTAAATTTATCAAATTCAACAAGAATTTCTTGAGCCCCTAAAATGTACCTGGCACCCAGCGGGGTGCTTGGGATATAAAGATAAGATAGAAGACCCAGTCCCTCCCCTCAAACTCATGCTCTAGTGGAGAGGGACAAATCCAGTGCTGTGTGCTCAGTACTATGGTAAGGATGCAACGGGTGTCACAGGAGAGACTCACCTGAGGAGCCAGGAAGTGCAGGAAAGGGCTTCTAGGAGTGGTGACATCTGAAATGGCAAAGGATGGAGGAGAGGGATATTCAAGGCACTGGGGAAAGAATGAGCTAGAGATGTAGACTTGAATAACACAGCCGTTTACAACCTTCCAGCTTTGTGTCTAGAACTCAGGATGAACATGTGTATGGTAATATATGAATAGAATGAGTCTCAGAGTTTATACTACAAAGGATTCTGGGTTTCAGACTAATGAGTTTGGAATTTATTTTGACACTAATGGGAAGTCCCTAAAGAATTTTGAGCAGGGGAGCCATATGATCAAATAGCATTGGCAGCAAATACTTACAGTACAACATAGTGGACACTGTGCTGAAAACATGACCTAAGTACTACAGAAATGCAGAAAAGGAGGGGGGTAAGGCTGTGCTTCCAGAGGAAGCCACATGTGAGATGAGTTTGAGAGGATCAGGAGGAGTTTACAGGCACAAAGGGAATGGAGAGCATTTCTACTAGATGGAAGTAGGTGGGGGAAGGGAAGGAAGTAAGGAGGGAAGGAAGGAAGAAAGGAAGGAAGGAAGGGAGGGAGGGAGGGAGGAAAATTGTAAACACACTTCAATAAAACTGTGAAAATCTAAAGAAAACCTTAATTTGATTTAGATGATGTAGACTTGATTTACATTTTTATTATTGATTTTTTTCCCAAAGATATTTATTTTTATTTTTATTTTTATTTTTTTAAGATTTGATCAATATTTTATTTTATTTATTTATTTATTTATTTTATTATTATTATACTTTAAGTTTTAGGGTACATGTGCACAATGTGCAGGTTAGTTACATATGTATACATGTGCCATGCTGGTGTGCTGCACCCATTAACTCGTCATTTAGCATTAGGTATATCTCCTAATGCTATCCCTCCCCCCTCCCCCTACCCCACAACAGTCCCCAGAGTGTGATGTTCCCCTTCCTGTGTGATTTTTTGTTTTTAATGATCTAAAACATCTAGGTCTTAAAAAGTGAAAAACATCCAAAATATGTCAGATTGATAAAGGAGTTGTAATCTGTTCTCTCTTTATCAAAATATAACATGATACCTTTCTTCAGTTATGATAATATCAGAATGGGATAATTTTGACAGTTTCCCAAAACAAGGTAGGAAAGAATTATGAAATACAGGACAAAACCAATAATCCAGAAATGTGAATTATATGATTTGCTTTGCCAGGGGCAAAGCAGTAATTCTGGGAATTTTTTTCACAGCTCCAAAATAGCAGGACAGCACCTTGTTATGTATCAGGCAACAGCTGTGTGACTTTTTGCAAGCCACAGTGACCCCTGTAAAGTGGGGCATGGGAGGCCTCCTCTGGATTTCAGGTTTAGCACCTACCTACCCAAGGTGTGTCGTGTGCACCCTAAGCTAAGAATCAGTTACTGTATACTTCATGTACAACAGCAGCTTAACCGCAACAGCCACACAAACATACCACTATGAAATAATTGTCTTTGGGAAGATACAATGTTTAGATGCAATTTTCACTAGTGGAAGAGACAATCCTTTGAATTTCCATATGTAGCTATGTCAAACAGGAAGCCCTGAACAGTGGCTTTCATACAGGGTGAGAGGCAAGAAAGTGCAATGGGAAGGAGTGAGACCTATCAGCTGTGATGCTGGTTCTGCCAATCACTACTTGTGTGACTCCAGCAAGATATTCCCTTTTAGCCTTAGTTTGCCCCCTCTGTAAAATGGGGACAGTAATGCCAATTTTACTAGGTTTTTATTAGGAGTAAATGAGACAGAGTAGGTAAAGCACTTAGCACTGTGGAAGCTGAGAAAAATATTAAGTAAATGGAAGCTCTAGAAGAATGACAGCAAGCTATGACCATGAAGAGTAAGGCCAAGGACACAGGACACTGGGGGATATAGTACTCTGGGTCCTGTGTTCCCCACTCAAATGCTGCAACGATTATTCATTTTCAACATATGCATTGAATGGTTTCATTTGATTGGCTTTTACCTTGCTGATAGATTTTAATAATTATTTAAAAAACAAACACAGCACTGGATATTAGCTGCACTCTACTATGAAGGAAAATGTATCACTCCAACTGCTAGAGAGTATGTGCTAACAATGTAACTTTAGCTCTATTACCAACTCTGTAATTGTGGACCCATCATTTAAATCTTTGGCATGTTTCCTCATCTATGAAATGAAAGATCTAGACTGCTCATTTACATGATTGGCCAACTCTCAAGTTTATTAATATACAGGATGCTGTGCCTATAGATCTAAGAGGTGAGAACAAGGAGGTGATATGGAAATAGAGTGACTAAATTACTTGAAGCATTACCTTAGACAGTGAGGTGAAATAAACACAGGTAGGAAGAGGAACACACTCTCCTGGGGCAAAACATTGACCATGGCTGTCTTATTTCTAGGTCTCTAGCATCATAATTATGTTGGCATTAAAGGAGCCACTCAGGCAATCTGCTCAGTTGAACATGTTAAGACCAAGAAAGGGAATGATAGGAGCTCTTAGTGTTTAGCATATGCCAAGCACTGTGCAAAATTATTTACTCCCTACCCAGCACCACTGAGCAAACTGAGGCCCACAAAACAATTTCATCCTTTGATGAAGATCATTCGATTTCTTACTGATTGGTATCTGCCTCCATGGCTTGAGTACATAACCATTATGTTGAGCTGCCCCTCATGAGAAACTGTTTTGAAAACTAGATTTCATTTAATACGTTTTCAAGAAAGAACACCCTTATTTTCTAATGCACTCCCTCTGACACCTGATACAGAGATGATAGTGGGTTTCTTTTTCAATGAAAATGGGCTCAAAGAAAATAGTGCAAGACCAAGACTAGACAGAATTTTAGACTTTGAATCACTGAGAGTCTATTTTTCTAAAGAGAATTTAGAAACAAGCAAATCTGAAGCTTTCCAAACACACAGGAGAAAACTGGGGTCCAGGGAGGCAGGTTAACTTAAGTCTGCAGGACATGCAGCTAGTCAGAGGCCACAGCAAGAAGGAATGATCGGGCCTCCTGACTAGCACATGATCTGCTTTTCTGTCTCTTGAATGTCACCCAAGTGTGTTTTCTGTTCAGTATTTTCCAGACTCTCCGCTTCTAGTAAATCACAAGTTCATTATAGTCACACCAAACACTACTTTGCTCATTTGTTCCAGTTATTATTTTTATGCTACCTGTGTGTTCCCTCATAGACATGAAGTAGAAGAACATTTTTAACACAGGTTGTTTTCCTCCCACATCTTCAACACCTGATGACATTTAGCTGTTAGGATATTAGTCATTCTTCCTATGCCGATATGACTCAGTCTAGGACCATCTGGGAGCTAGAATCCATATTTTCAGCCTAGATTCACCAATGACCTGTTAGGTGACCACTGGGAGGCCTTTGCCCAGGTTCAGTTCCATAAAAGAAGAAGGAATGTGGCCTTCTTTTTTCACATAGAGTCACTAGGATTTTTTTAAAGGTAATAACAAAATCCTAAGAATGTCTTGAGCATACATATATACTATATAATTAAAACTGTAAATAAAATTTTAATGAACATAATGACTGCTTTAAGTAGTTATTTTAAGAATAAACACAGCATTGTATATTGGCCATTTTAGACTGTAATGGAGGGTGTTATCACTCCAACTACTAGAGGACACATTCCATTTATGTAGTTTTACCTCGACCACCAACTCTGTAATCTTGAGCCACCATCTCACTTTCCTGTCATTATCCCATCTGTGAAATGAAAAGTCAGGACTCTGAAATTTCTAATACCATGTCAACTTTACTAATATACAGGATGTTTTGTCTAAAGACCCAAGAGGTAAGAATAAGAAGGTGGTATGGATATAGTACAATTAAATTACTTTAGGAAGCCAGAAATTAGGGAAAAGAAGAAGGAAAAGGAGGAGGAGAAAGAGAAGAGAAAGAGAAAGAGAAGCACTTGTCTTTTACCTGATGACTTCATGGGTCTGAGTCAGCGTTAATATGTGAGCAGTTTCAGACTGATGCACTCACAGCAGGTCTCCTCATAGTGGCTATTTTACCTAGAAAGCCAAAGTCCAAGGAGGACGAGCAGAAAAGTGCTTTTCGCATACTCACAGTAAGTACTCAGTGTGCTGTCCAGGGTCAAGAAAAATCCCCCCAAGAGCACTCCTATTGCCCTGTCCTGCTTTTTTAGTTCCTCTCTGCCTTTCAGACACTCAGTAAGTTATTACTAAGGGCTTATTCAGGGACAGAAACCCCTCTAAGTGCTTTATTATGTACTCATTTATTTAATCCTCACAACATCCTAGGAAATAGGTACTGATAGTAATTCTGTTTTACAGATAAGGAGTTTGAGGCAGAGAGACGCTAAGTAATACAGCCAAGGCAACATAGCTGTCAAGTGGCAGAGCAGGATTCAAACTCAAGACAGTTTATCTGTGATGCCTGTGCTGCTAAACATGGACTTGGAACTCTGGAATCAGATGCTCCTGTGTCCTTCCCAGATGAGATGGTTAACTGTGGGTACATCTTTAAACTGAGAACAGTAAACCCTACCTCCCTGGGTTGTAGCAAGCATTAAATATGTATAATACTTAGTATAGATGGAGCTCTTAATAATTTTTTTCTTTCCCTTAGAAGTCTCCATTTAAATCTCTCCATTTCTCAGTCTATAGAGCTAGAATTCTTCTTATAGATCATTCCTCACTTGTTACCCTTTCTCACTGTGGCTGATTTTGGGAACCTAGTTTATTATACATTGATTCATCTGGGCATAGAAAAAGGTATTTTGTTTTTCTACTGTTTGTGTCTGTCTGTCTGTGTGTGTCTGTGTGTGTATGCATGCACATGAACATGCTCTTGTTTTAAACCTTATTTTCATATTTACTGAATAAATGAATCCTTCTCAAGGTTCAGCACTTGTTGCCAAAAAGAAAACAAAAACAAAAAAACAGAACACAACTGGTTTAAATTTGATAAACAGAGGTTTCCAGCTGCTATGCTTTCAATCTGGCCAAACACTTTATGCTCACTTTAAAATTTGTTTCCTTTAGTTTTCGAGCTCCTAACTGATATGCCAGAATTGAATTATCTTTCCTCCTGATATCTTCACTGCTTGGTTCTATCCACATTTGGCAATTTTAAAGTTTCATTCATGAGAAAAGAGATGACCTTTGGAGAAAAAAAAATCATGACTCTTTTTTTTCCACCAATATTTTATTTACAAGCTTTATAGTAAATGCATTGCCTAAATTCAGTTGAATTTCAATCCTTAAATACTAAATATGTATTTTTATTGATATCTCCTACAACAACCTGAGGTTGATAACTCAAAAAGCAGAACCTTATTTCTATGAGTAAATAATCTTCAAAAGCTTCAGGGATACTGATTTTGCTGAAAAAATCTTACAAAAAGGAAAAATAAAACAGGTTGATAGAATTAGTAAAAAATTGTATACAGATGTTTTTAAAACTATAAAAGAGTATCATGAACAGCCATATACCAATAATTTTGAAACCTATATTAAACACATTAATTTTGGAAAAAATGTAAAAAGCCAATATTGACACAAGAAACAAAAAACTTAAATGCACAAACCTATGAAATACATTGAAATTAAATATATAACATCCTCTCTCTCCCCTCCAAAAACTAGACTAAGATAGTTTTATGCCGAACTTCAAAGGAACAAGTAATCCTGACCTTAGATAAATTGCTCTATAACACAGAGAAATAAGAAAAGCAGCCCAATTCCTTTTATGAGGCTATAATTTTGTAACAAAAATTAAGGAAGGGCATATAAATAGAGAAAACTTATAGGCCAATTTCATTTAATAAAATAAGTGTAAAATCCCAAATACAATACTATCTTGCAGAATTCAATGGAATATTGATCAAGTATTATGATCAAGTAGGATTTTTTTTTTTTTTTTTTACTCAGGAAAACAAGACAGACAAACTTTTTTTTTAAAATCCATTTCATTGGCTGGGCACAGTGGGTCACACCTGTAATCCCAGTGACTTGGGAGGTTGAGACCAGAGTTTGAGACCAGCCTGGGCAAAATAGGGAGACATTGTCTCTACTAACAATAAAAATAAATTAGCTGGACATGGTGGCATGCTCCTGTAATCCCTACTACTCAGGAGGCTGAGGTGAAAGGATCTCTTGAGCCCAGGAGTTCAAGGTTACAGTGAGCTATGATCATGCCTCCGCACTCCAGCCTGGGTGACAGGGCAAGATTCTGTCTCTAGAAAACAAAATTCCATTTAATTCATGTTAATGTACTAAAAAAGAAAAATTGCATAGTCACCTTAGTAGACATATAGGGGGAAAAACTTTTAATAAATTTTAATGTCAAGGTAATATGTTTAAAAAGTTAAAACTGCAAATAATAGTTCTGTAACATGTTAATAAGCTATCTACCAAAAACCTACAGCAAGCATTATACTTAATGAAAAAACTTTTCACTCATTTTCTTTAAGGATGGAAACAAAGTTGATGACTCCCATAATTATTATTCTTCCTAGTGTTTGCAGAAGATTCTAATGTTAATCCTTGATAATTACTTACCACCCTCTGCACTAGGCCCAGCTCTAGAGACCTCTTCCCTGGTACTCTCCCCATTGCAAGAGTGAACTTCCCATCCCATTGTTCGCAAGTGTGACCATCCCATGTCCAAGGAGGAGCATTAACAATTACCCTGTGGTTCTGCCATTGTGCTTTTTCCTCTGCCATAAGAAGGCGAGGTATCAGCTAGGGGTTGCTTCTTCCATCTGGATCCCAAAGAAAGGAGACAGAGCTGCTGTCAACCACAACCAATGGGGTAAGTAAAGGTGACCAAAAAATAGATCAATCTTTGATCTTGTAAACCTCTGAGATTTGGGAGTGATGTGATTTATTATCATAACGTAATGAAAGCTGACCAATATAGTACACTGTAGGTTAGGATGGCTGTTATTCAGTCTATTTGTGCAATTGATGAACAGGATAGGAGTTTTCATAGTTGTTTTTGATTTAGCCCTCCTCATCATCCTCCTTCTAGAATTGATAACATGTGATAATTAATGTTACTTTTAGGTCAATTTGGTGATGATACTTGAAGTAGAGTTGAGATTAGTGCTAGTTTTTGAAATATTTTTAAAAATTAGAGAAGGGATTGAAAGAGAAATAAAATTTTTACAATTAGATAGTATAATTATTTACAATAAAAACACAGGAAATTTTTTAAAGTGCTATTACTAATCAAGTTTGGGAAGATTGCTGGATACAAAATCAAACAAAATTCAACAACTTACGCTAGCAAAATCATACCAAACGATACTCACTCTTCAAGGTGAAGAACCATAGCTCCCTGTAATTTCTGTGTGGCCTGTCCATGGTGACTTCCTTTCAAAAAGTACCATATGGAAAGGGGGATAGAAAGAATAACTGTATATTAATTCAAAAATTATAATAAACTTATTAATTTATAACACAAATAATACTATTTAATGAAAAGTAACTATATTTTCCAAAAAAATTAAACAGAAGGATGGCATTATGTTACATTTCTGCAAATCTCTAATGTTTGGTTAAACTATCGTATCTGCTTCTGCATTATGGTTCATTTAGCTTCTGGAAAATGAGAATGAAAAGGTAAATAATTTCTTAATGTAAATATGAAAAGTATTTTGATCTTACAGACTCCTCAGAAGGGTATCAGAGATCTCTGGTAGTTTCTGGATTACACTTGAGAACCACTGATATATAATAAAAATTCATCTGACCTTGATGGGCACAATTTTCTTTTTCTTTTTCTTTTTCTTTTTTTTTTTGAGATGGAGTCTCGCTTTGTCACCCAGGCTGGAGTGCAGTGGTGTGATCCTGGCTCACCCAAGCTCCACCTCCCGGGTTCACGCCATTCTCCTGCCTCAACCTCCTCAGCAGCTGGGACCACAGGCACCCGCCAAAACGCCCGGCTAATTTTTTGTATTTTTAGTAGAGATGGGGTTTCACTGTGCTAGCCAGGACGATCTCAATCTCCTGGCCTCGTGATCCACCTGCCTTGGCCTCCCAAAGTGCTGGGATTACAGGTGTGAGCCACTGCACCCGATGAGCACAATTTTTTAATTCTATTAAGAGATACAGAAAATATCTAAATAAGTTGAAGAATAAATCACATTCATGGATAGAATATTGAAAGATTTTTAAAAGTAAATTTCTTTCTGAAAATTGCTCAATATATTAAAAAAAGGAATTGCACCCAGAATTTCATCAAGATATTTATTGAGAACAAAAAGTGGATGGTAGGGAAGGAACTTAACAAACTGATTCAAAAATGAAAACCTTAGAAAAAGGGTACTCAAATAACAAATATGGTGTGGGAGCAACAATGGGGGGGCTATGTCTACCAGATGTTAAGGGTTTTTTTAAAACCACCTTAGCCATGTGGATTTTCTGTGAAAATGAAACTAGCTCATTTCAAAAGATGCTTTTAGAAATCATTTTTTCCTCCACTGAACCAAAATACACTTTAAAAATCATCTCTGTTTTTTCTCCACTAAGACAGAAAAAAGAGCAAAAACAAAAAAAGCCCAAGAGTGTAATATTGCAAACTGAGCATTCAGTGATTTGTAGAGCTGGGGTCTGCCCAGTCATATGGAAAGGAGATGCTGGGAGCAGTAGAAGGGGCTGTGTTGAGGAGAGCTGTTGGGATAAAATGGGGACACCTCATCTCCACTCCTGCACTGGGCTGTGGCTGGGCACGTGGCACCTGCCAGTCAGCACAGGTGAGCTGGGTGAGTGGTCTCATCACCCCTTGGTATGTGCTGACGTGAAACAGCAGGCAGGAGAGATGAACAAGACAGGCTCTTCTTCCATTGCTCATGTATTAATAGCAACGTGGACATTTCACTGGGGCTCTAAGTGGGGAAACTCACTCAGTATTTTTGGCCTGTTCCTTCCAAAGAATCTAATAGCGATTCCTCCAAAATAAATCCAATGGCTTCTCTCAGTACTACCACTGTAAGTGCACCTGACAGCCAAGTTTTGATAAATGGGCATGTAGAAACTCCACATTTTCCCCTCCTGAATGTTCCTGTCAGCCATTATTCTCCTCCCTGCATCTGAGTTTGACTGCTTTAGATACCTTATGTAAGTGGGAGGCAGTATTTGTCCTTCTGTGCCTGGCTTATTTCACTTAACATAATCTCCTCTGGGCTCATCTGCATTGTTGCCTAAGGCAGGATTTCCTTCTCTTTTAAGGCTGAATAATATTCCATCATCAGTAGGTATAAAGTTTTGATGATGCAAGATAAAATAAGATCCAGAGATCTGCTGTACCACATCATGCCTATAGTTCACAATACTTTATTATATGCTTAAAATGCTCTTAAGAAGGTAGATCTCAAGTTAAGTGTTCTTACTGCCCCCCACCACCACACACCAAATGGGCAGGAGGAAACTTGGAGGTGATGGATGTTTATTACACTGATTGTGGTAATGGTTCCTCAGATGTATGCATGTATTCAAACCCATCAAAATGCATACATTAAATATATGCAGGGTTTTTATTATATCTCAATAAAGCTGTTAAATATATATGTGTATATGTATTTATATACTTATTGATGTATATATTTTGTTGTTTTATATAAAATAGATATAGAAATAAAAGCAAAAATATAGGCAATGTTTGGAAGCTACAGCTGGCAGAAAGAGAAATTGCTAACAAAATTGGTTCCCCCAGGAACTCACCTTCCACACATGCTAGTTCACTGTTCCTGTCAGAAATCACTGATAGAGAAAAACCAGTGTCATGAGAGAGCAGGAAATGAGATGTCAACATAATGACTAGGTGTGTGGTTGAAAATGACTAGGTGTGTGGTTGAAGATGAATTTACTCTTCCTGAAACGCTAGCTTGAAATGTTAAAGCTGATGCCTCTTATGGGTTTGAATACAGGCAGGAGAAAGAGTCCAGCTTTCTCTCTCTCGTGTTGAAAGATGGGACACCATGGCATGGAGACAGCAGGTAACCCAGACATAAGTTGTAATTATTGGAGAACAGGTTTTCTGCTTTCATGGTGCTCTGTTTAGGCTAATAACATGGGAACTAAGACTGGAAGTGAAAGCGTATGACAGGGTAAGTATAAAATATCCATTTGTTGATCAGGAAACATTTATTGATGCCCAACTGTTTACTGAACACTGATAGAGGCATTAGGAATTTAACAACATCAACAATAATAATATTAATAATTAACATTGAATATGTACAATGTCCCAGATACTCTTTTGAGCCCTTGACAAATATGACCTCACTTCATTCTTACAATAACCTAAGAAGTGGATACTGATATTACCCACATTTTGTAGGCAAGGAACCAGAGGCTTTACAGATTAGGTGATTTGCTGTGGGTCATATAGATTGTAGTAGTGGAGCAGGGATTCACATGTAATCCAGTGGCAGGGTCTGTGCTGTGAGCAACAACAACAGAAAAGAGATATATTTCATTTTTCAAATCTTGAGTGGGGCCGGGTGCGGTGGTTCATGCCTGTAATCTCAGCACTTTGGGAGGCCGAGGCAGGCAGATCATTTGAGGTCAGGAGTTCAAGACCAGCCTGGCCAACATGGCGAAACCCCATCTCTACTAAAAATACAAAAAGTTAGCCAGGCATGGTAGCATGCACCTGTAATCTCAGCTACTCGGGAGGTTGAGGCAGGAGAATGACTTCAGCTGGGGAGGCAGAGGCTGTAGAGAGCTGAGACTGCACCACTGCACTCCAACCTGGGTGACAGAGTGAGACTCCATCTCCACACAAAAAAAATCTTGAATGGTAGGGGAGACAGAAACAAGTAAAGGATAAAATACAATAAATAAATAATACTAGTTATGAAAGCTATTTGTTATTGAGTGTTTTGCTCTGAGCAGCCAGCACGGTGCTAAGAACTTTACCAAGGTTTTCCCACTTAGTCCACCACACGAACCTATGGATTAGAGTTGTTCTCTTCAGCTCATGGAGTGAGAACTGACACCAAGGGAAGAGAAAGTGACTTGCAGATCACCCAGCCACTGAGAGGAAAATGTGGACTTCCAACACTAAAATCTTTATCTCCAAAGTCCAAATGCTGAACTATCTTCTACATGGAAAGGCCACTAACCCAACCTTGCTGGAGGGTGAGAGGGAGGTAGATTAGGAAGACTTCCTGGAAGAAGTGGCATCTAAACTGACAGTTGAAGTTTACATAGAAATAAAATGCTAATACTTCATACTTGAGTTGACTGTATGATTTTCTAACCAAGTAATCAGTTACTAAGATGATGTCTATTTGAAAGAGTAATTCTACATTTACGAGATTCTTTACACAGAATTGCAAGAATCTTACTATTTGGGAAGAGAATTGAGATTATCTCTAAGTCTGAGAGAGGTAAAACGAAGATTCCAAGTGACTTTTCACCTAACCCACCCTTGTACTCCTTGTCTTTCTATATAAAATGAATAAGCATAAACATGGGAATTATAATTTTTCTTCTATGCTACTTTTGTATCATCCTGACGTGTTTGTTGTTCTCTTTGAGATGGAGTCTCACTCTGTCACCCAGGCTGGAGTGCAGTGGCGTGGTCTCGGCTCACTGCCAGCTCCACCTCCTGGGTTCATGCCATTCTCCTGCCTCAGCCTCCCAAGTAGCTACAGGCGCCCACCACCATGCCTGGCTAATTTTTTGTATTTTTAGTAGAGACGGGGTTTCACCATGTTAGCCAGGATGGTCTTGATCTCCTGACCTCGTGATCTGCCCGGCTCAGCCTCCCAAAGTGCTGGGATTAGAGGCGTGAGCCACCGTGCCTGGTCTTTTAATACATATTTTTTAAGTGAGGGTCTCACTCTGTAGCCCAGGTTGGAGTGCAGTGGTGCAGTCATAGCTCACTGCAACTGCAAACTCCTGAGTACAATTGATCCTCCCATCTCAGCCTCCCAAGTCACTGGAATTACATGTGTGAGCCATTGTTTCCTGCTAGTGTGAAAAAAAAGCACACAACTAACTCAACTAGACTATGGAGAGAGAGAGAAAAGAGAAAGAAAGAAAAAGAAAGAAAGAAAAGAAGAAAGAAAAAGAAAGAAAGAAAGAAAGAAAGAAAGAAAGAAAGAAAGAAAGAAAGAGATCGATCCTAAAATTTCTTGATATTTCTTGAATTCTTAGATTTAGCCATGCCTCAATTATCTCCGTATTCTCGAGTTATATGAACCAATAACCTTTCTTCTTTAGTTATGTTTATTAGAATTGCACTTCTGGTCATTTAAAATCAAGAGTCCTAAATGATGTAACGACTATTAAGGAGTCTCTGATTCTATAAGGTAATCAAGTTAAATTGGTGCCTGCATTAAACATTAACTTCAAAGAAAATCCTCAAATAAGAATAAATCTAAATAATAGAACAAATACATAAAGACCTTGTTGTCTTAAAAAGCAAGATGAGAGAGGAAGTGAAATGGGAGAAATGCCAAGAATATAGTCATGTGCTGCATAACAATATTTTGGTCAAAGACAGACTGCTTATATGATGAAGGTCCTCTAAGATTATAATGCTGTATTTTTACTGTGCCTTTTCTATGTTTAGATATGTTTAGATACAATACTTACCGTTGTGTTGTAATTGCCTACAGTATTAAGTTCAGTAAAATGCTGTACAGGTTTGTAAGCCAGGAGCAATAGGATATATCATATAGCCTAGCCTAGGTGTGTAGAAGGCTATACCATCTAGGTTTGTGTTAGTACGCTCTGATGTTCACACGATAACAAAATTACCTAATGATGCATTTATCAGAACAGATCCCCATGATTAAGCAATACATGGCTATATGCTGTTATTATGGTGATTTGTACAATGGAAAAAAGCGATGAGGACTCTAATTAAAGTACGTAAAGCAGAAGGTCAGCTTTAATTTGTCTTTAAGGTCAACACCTGCTACTGCAATGTAATGTGAGTGGCATTCTTGAGTCCTCTGTCCCAATTTTTGGTATTTTCCCATGAAAGAGTCACTTTGAGTTTTGAAAACCTTCGAATTTTTCAAGATTCATTTATCAAGAGACAAGAACTACCCAAGGTCTGGAGGATGGTAGCACCTCAACACAGCATTTTTCAAATTATTCCATAGAAACTACTGTCAGAGGCAAATGACACATGCACACACACACAAAGGGAAACCAGGAGGTTCAGCCTAACAGATCCTGGCCCAAACAGAAAATGTCTTTGAGGTCTTCTGTTTTATCTTTAAATGTCAAATGAATGTTTCATTCTATTTCATATTCTATTTTTTCATATAAAACAATTTTTAAATTGCCATCTGGAATTGTAAAAGCTCCCTAGCATTTTATCCTGTGCCTTTGCATGTCATCAGTATACCACGTAGGCATGGAGTAAGGTGCTGCCAGAGAACACCAAAGTCAGTGAATGGTATCTGTGAATCCATTTGTCCATTTCTACAATCACTGTCTTGGTCCAAGTTGCCATTATCACTTCTCTGGACCACAGTGCATGGCCTGTAGGCTGACTGCTTGTTTCTGCTTTAATCTACATTCTGCTCTGTGTTCAGAGCCCATCCCACTGCTTAAAACCTTTTAGTGACTCTCCATTGCTATTAGAAGAAAATAAAAATCCTTAACAAGGTGTCAAGGCACTTGGGGTCTGGCCTCCACTAACTCATCCACCTCACCTCTGATCACAGTCCCTTCACTCCTTGTGTTCCAGACACACTAGCCTCCAGCATGCCAGCTCATTTTCCTCTCCAGAGTCTTGGACCAGCCAGCGCTCACATCTGAAATACTCTTCCACTTCCCATTTCCTTCCTTTGGGGCCTCTGACTAAGTCATTTTCTCCTATTATGCTTTCTGACAGCATCATCTATCTCCCACCCACTGGCACAAAGCTCCTTAAGGAGAAAGGCAATGTCTTTGTGCACCAATTTGTTCCTAGTGCCAAACTCCTTCCATGAAACATAGTAGCTGCTCAATAAATGTTTTGTAAATGATCGAATGGATGAATGAGCTAGGGAATAGCCTGTCTCCTTTCAGGTACAGAACAAGAAAAAATAACTTGAACAATTTTCCGGGCAAATGCAATACATATTTTGTTCAAAGACCACTTTAATTATCACGAGAGGAAAAAATAGCATGAAAGCACTCTGTCAACTTCACTTAAGACACTATTTAGGTACTTCTGGGATGATAAAAAATTTTGAGTGGCAGAATCTTGTCAATAACTTGTGATAGAACTTATCCCAAGTTCTACTACACCTGAGTGTGACACCTGAGTGCTCCTAATTAGGGCTGTCTCGGAGAACATTACATAAGACGGCAAGGGCTTCTTTTATTTCTGAAATTTTAAACCTGCTATAGATATAAATATCTGGAGTTCTTATTTTTAGTACATTGTTTATATTTGGAAGCACAGAGAAAAGAATGTTTTGTTAACAAGTAGCCTCCATTGATGATAATCCTTGTATTGACTTGGGACAAATTGTTGGGGAAAAAAAAGCAGAATGAACTGGAAAAGAAACACAGAGAAACATTCGATAATCATTCCACCAACCTTATAGAGCTCTATTTGTCACTTGGAGACACAAGGATGAGTGACTGACATTGTCTGCCCACAGGTAGCTCTCTGAGCCTGGTAGCAAAGACAAGTCATCATCAGAGAGTCACTAGGGCCTAGCAATACCCAGACCACAAGATAATTATTCTAAGACCAGGAATTTGGGGTGTTGGGAATATTTTACCCAAGGTTATTAAAAGACAAGGTAAGAAGTTTTGTTTATTACAGTATCGCTAATACCAAGAGCAATATTTTGAACATGGTAGGCCTTTGTTACATATTTGTTGAATGAATAAATGAATTCCTATCCAAGACACACTTCAGAGATACCTGGAAGGCGGCTCTATGACAACTCATGGGTTTTCCCACAGAGCCACAATTGACTTTCGTGGGTCCTAAATCCTTTTGCTTTCGTGGGCCCCTACTGAAATGGTATAAAGACTACTATAATATAAGCTGGATTACACTCATTTTTTTTAATTTTAAAAGAAATTAAGACATTTTCATGGAGCCCTGGATAGTATAGTGGCTGCTAGGCTCTGTACCTATTGTGCCTAACACACAAGTGGGGTCTGGATTTCTCACTGTTCCCTAAGCAAATGATTCCCTTATCTAGGATCAATGCTCAAAGCAAGTAGTCCTCATAACAAAGCCCTGGCTTCTGGCTTAAATACACAGCAAAGGCAGAAGAACTCATGAGCTAGAACATCAGTACATATGGAAAAGCCTCCTGGATACTGCTGTTTACCGACTTATGATCTACTTTGGAAGATACTTAGTTGTATAAGGATTGCTCTCTATATCACAGGCAATTAAAGAAGAATCCCAGCTCCTGAAAACCTGAGCTATCAACAAAAATAATCATAATAAGTTATATTCATGAAGATCTACTCTGTGCTAAGCACTAAACTTAAAGCAATTCATATATCACTATTAACCTTCCTAAGGATCCAGCCAGGTAAGAATTATTTCCTCCATTTTAAAGATTTGGAACTTGGATTAGGGCTTAGAGAGATTAAGGATCTAGCCTCTAAGGACTGGAATATACCTCTTTCTAGTTCCAAAGCTCACATTCTTTCCACTATGTCACCTTGCCATTAAATTATAAATATACACAAGTATAATAGAATACAAATAACTGTTTAATGATAAGGAAGAAGCCTTTGATAGAATAATTACAAAAAGGAGAGTTATTTGAAGAAAAAGAATTATCAAAGCAAATTTCAGATCAGACTTCTAACACATCACTGGGAAGGTAATATGATAAATTATTTGAATAATATTGGATGTATAGTCTGATGCCAAATGACAGCAACTCCAAATAGCTGAAAATCAGCTTCGTTGTATATGGTAACACACATCTTCATTGGAGAAGATTGTTTTAGTCCCCCAAAATAATTGACGCAAACATTGAAGTAGATATAAATTTATTCACATAAAACTGAAAATATAACTCTGTGAAAGCAGGGATTTTTGTCTGCGTAATGCTGAATCTTCAGTACTTAAAACAGTGCTAAACAGATAGTAGGTGCTCAATTAATATGTGCTGAAAAAAATAAATGAATGAGGCCGGGCGTGGTGGCTCACGCCTGTAATCCCAGCACTTTGGGGGGGTGCCAAGGCAGGCGGATTGCAAGGTCAGGAGATCGGGACCATTCTTGCTAACACGGTGAAACATCTTTACTAAAAATACAAAAACAAAAAATCAGCTGGGCGTGGTGGCAGGCGCCTGTAGTCCCAGCTACTCCGGAGGCTGAGGCAGGAGAATGGCATGAACCCGGGAGGCGGAGCTTGCAGTGAGCCGAGATTGCACCACTGCACTCCAGCCTGAGTGACAGAGCAAGACTCCATCTCAAAAAATAAATAAATAAATAAATAAATAAATAAATAAATAAATAAAGTAAAAATAAATAAATAAATGAACAGAGTATTTTCACATGAAGAGGTAGCATAGAGTGGAGTTACTAGCACAATTGTTAGAAATAGATGCCCATGTAGTCAGGCCTCAACTTAGCTATTTCTTATTTTAAGACAGTCATGAATTATATTTACACCCACTAAGTCTTTATTTTCATATATAAAATAATATCATAGTAACCGACTCAGACTTAATGTGAGGTATGTATCAACTGCTTAGCAGAGGGCCTAGCACATAGTAAATAATCAGTATACTTTAGCCATTATTATTATCATTATTACTATTATTCTTATTATTACTATTATTTTGCAATAGAGAGGAAAAATGTGTGTGGTGCTTTTTACAATCAAAATATCTCTCAACTTCTGGATATATTTGTCCCTCTTTTACAAGTTTTGACATAAAGATAAAATGAAATGGATCATAGAATATGGAAGCAAATTGGAATAAGTTGATATATCCTAGGAATTAGCAAAAAGAAAGGATGGTCATGAATAATTGAAAGCACTCTAAACAGGAATGTGTTGGGTACGGTAAAGGGAGGTTGGTAAAGCTGGGAAAAGAGTAGAATCATACAACATCATATCTGCACTCCAGCCTGGGCGACAGAGCGAGACTCCGTCTCAAAAAAAAAAAAAATGCTCATCATCACTGGCCATCAGAGAAATGCAAATCAAAACCACAATGAGATACCATCTCACACCAGTTAGAATGGCGATCATTAAAAAGTCAGGAAACAACAGGTGCTGGAGAGGATGTGGAGAAATAGGAACACTTTTACACTGTTGGTGGTACTGTAAACTAGTTCAACCATTGTGGAAGTCGGTGTGGCGATTCCTCTGGGATCTGGAACTAGAAGTACCATTTGACCCAGCCATCCCATTACTGGGTATATACCCAAAGGATTATAAATCATGCTGCTATAAAGACACATGCACATGTATGTTTACTGCAGCACTATTCACAATAGCAAAGACTTGGAACCAACCCAAATGTCCAACAATGATAGACTGGATTAAGAAAATGTGGCACATAGACGCCATGGAATACTATGCAACCATAAAAAATGATGAGTTCATGTCCTTTGTAGGGACATGGATGAAGCTGGAAACCATCATTCTCAGCAAACTATCACAAGGACAAAAAAACCAAACACCGCATGTTCTCACTCATAGGTGGGAATTGAACAATGAGAACACATGGACACAGGAAGGGGAACATCACACACCAGGGACTGTTGTGGGGTGGGGAGAGGGGGAAGGGATAGCATTAGGTGATATACCTAATGCTAAATGACGAGTTAATGAGTGCAGCACACCAACATGGCACATGTATACATATATAACAAAACTGCACGTTGTGCACATGTACCCTAAAACTTAAAGTATAATAATAAAAAAAAAAAACAAAAAAAAGTGTTCATAACAGCTATCCCATTACAAAAATCAGAAATTCTAAACCTACGCACACAAACACACACACAGAGAGAGAAAGAGAGAGAGAGAGACAGAGAGAGAAAGTTTGAGACCAACTTGTCACTGGAGTGAAAGTTTTGTTACATTGCTTCTTCTGAAAGCCCGGAGCTGGAGCAAAGAGGAAGGAAGCCTGAATGATGTCCCTGCTTTCTAATGGCCACTTGCCTCCCTATTTCAATGCTGTAAATGACCATCAAGCCTTCTGCTCCCTGATGACCAAACAGCGAAAATAATTTCTTTGAGAAGACTTTGTTCAACCTAATTTGTGAGTAAAATCTTCTAAGGGCAGCAGTGAAAGGCCCAAGATAATGAGGAAGTTTTCAAACTCGGGGAACTGATGAGATATTCTCCCAAATTTACCATACACCATTAATCAATTGTTACTAGGCAGAATCACAGAACCCAGATAGAGGTCAATTGATCACATGACCCACAGCACTCCGAACTCCTGGTGTCCTGCTGCTTAAACTAAAGCATTAGGGATTTTGTAACTTAGCAGAAGTTAAAATCTCAGTTGATTTTTCATAACGAGAATTCAGTGCAAATTGTGTAGAGTCTGAGTAAAACAAACAAAATCTAGGAGGTGTTGGTAAAGGAGGGTTAGGACTCACCAAAGAAATGGGATAAATTGATCATAGAGTTTACAAGAAAGAACCAAGTTAGAAATAAAAATTACGTTTAGCACCTTACCTCGTTTAATGCGTCCTTGTTTGAAAACTGCAAGCACTTTTACCTGTCACTTTTAATAAACATTTAAATATAATTTCACCCTTTTTAAATCCAAAACACAGATGTTATATTCCATCATTTTCCACAGAGCACAATATTTTTATTTTTTCAGATGCTCTGTAAACCACATGCCACTATGTTAGACGTGTAAAAGATTTTGCCCTTCATTCATGTCCCCCTGATACTGCTTACATGGTAAGATGCTTTATTTATAAATCAAAGTGTCTTCAGAAGGTTCTGAATGATGGATAAACATCTCAAAATCTCCTATAACTATTTTTTATTAGCAAAAAACACAAATCCTGAACTCCCTATTTATTAGTTCATTCTTTGCCAGATTCTAGAAATTTTTAGTACTAAAGAATAATATAAACTTGAACAAAAAAAGTAAAATCACTCATTGCAAGGAGCAGGGCTATTTTTAATTTCTCTTATAAACAATTTCCTCATATCTTGGTTCGGTCTGTTGTTTTTAGACATAATTGGAACAAGGTGTTAGGCAACAATCACATTTAATAGAAATACATAAAAGATCACTTGGAAAAACAAACTGAGCAGTGTTAAGGTTCTATTATCTTATTGCTTTAGATATAGAACAGGTAGTACTAATATATTACATATTTGGAAGCCCCAGTCTTAATGCCTGAAGAGAAGTCCTCTAATTTGTCAGATAAAAATTCTCCCACATTTATACCAAAGCAGAAAAATCTGTGTAGATCTAATTCATCATGACAAAACAAAGGGGCAAAATCATGTTATTTGGGATCTCTGATGTCCATTTTTGTTTTGGACCAAATATTTTCTAACTAATATTATCATTTTTTAAGTTCTGTGAGTCAAAGAGCATACCAGACAAAATACTTAGGAATATTTTTGGACAGAAAAGATACCAAAAGTTAAATCTTGCATGCATTTTACAATTTTACTTTTAGGAATTCACATTATAAAAATAATTAGAGGAGCAGATAACAATTATACATAAAATATATTCATGAAATATTTTTCCTATAGTGAAAATATTCATAAAAATTTTTCCTATAGTGAAATTTGCAAATAATTAAAATGTTCCAAAATAGCAAATTGGCTAATTAAATTATACTACAATGATGCAATAAAAGATTCTATAGGTGTTTAAAATGCTAATGTAGATCACCGTTTGTTGATATTGCAAAGATGTCAACAGTTCATTGTGATGGGGGGAAAAAACAGCTTATGGAACAATGTGTGTAGTAAGAGCTCATTCTTGAACAAATAGTTCTATATGTGAATATGCTAAGAAAAATGTATGAAAGGATATGCTCCAAAATGTAAATAGTGGTTGTCATTGGGTTATTAAGCTATAGATAATTTCTGCTTTTTCTTAATGCCTTTTGGTAACTTCTTTTTTTCTCTTTCATTTTGTAAACAATGAGAAAACTATGCAAAAAGTGATTTTCATTTTGAGGGGGAAAAGGGGAAGGAAGGGTAAGGGAAAGCTTCCTGCACTAATGCCTGCCTCCCCATCTGGGTTAGTGACATGCATGCAGAGGGTCTAAAGAGAGAAGTGGAAGGAAAGCAAGAAGTACGGCTTCACCACACTAAATGAAAAGCAAACAATATGCATATCAGCATCCTAAGATGTACCACTCTGCTGGGAAAACCCAAGACAAAAGAATTATCAGACACAACAGTTCAAAGCATATTGCACCTGTCAAAACGTCTGTCATCTTCTATAGAAATGCACCATTCTAAGAGAGAAAAGGGAAACTTTAGCAAAGTCACTCAGGAACAACAGCTTACTTTGTCTCCTTCCTCTAGCCAACTCCTCCATCTGAAAGCCATTGAGCTCCATGCTAAAGATTGCCTGGAAGGACCAGACAATAGGAAGGTCTCTTTCATTGTCAAGGACAGTTAGACTTTGAAGATGACACTCAAAAGAGGTTAAAATGGGTCAACAGGCAATTGTTGGGCCTATGCAAGGACATGTGAAGAGAACATTGTTAAAGTCAAACACATAAAAAATCTTGATCTCAAAGAATTCAGCTTTAACCTAGAGGAGGTGTGGGAAGGAAGGAACTAACACACAATACTGATTTCTGATTTCATCCCAAAGAATTAAGTGGGGAGGGGACTTACCCCAAGAGGATTAATTAATGGACAGTTTGGGGATGGTCTTTGCCATTCTAACATCTGCCCACACATTATAGAAAGGTAAGTGCAATTTAGGGCTAAGTAAGAAAATGTGGTTTAAACAGAAAAAAGTGGTGTTAATTCCATGCACGCTATACATTTTTAAGAATTCTATTTTCTGGATGCACTTTAGAAAACGTGTAGAATGGACATACAAAGTGGAATAATGAATGCTAGAGACTCTAAAGGGTGGAAGGGTGGGAGGGGGGTGAGGGATGAAATACTATCTATTGAGTTCAATGTACACTACTCGGGTGATGGATGTGCTAAAAGCCCAATCTTCACCACTATGCTATACATGCATGTAACACAACTACACTTGTACCCCTAAATTTATAAAATATTTTTTTAAAAAAGAAAATATAGTATTTAGTCAGATGATTGGTAAATGGTTAGAGGTGGTTGGGTATATTTAAACAGCAAACTTTTGTGCAATTTCTTAGATATCCTAACTAAAGAAAACTTAGAAGTCCATCTGAGAAATTCTGATACAGAGAAAAGGCGTATGGCAAATTCTGGTCAGCCTGCCTAGGCTTACAGTCCAGCTCTGCCTTGAACAGACTGTGTGACTTTGGACAAGTAACCTCTTTATTCTGAGTTTCCTGTTGTGTAGAAGAGGATAACAATACACCATAGAAGTATTGGGAAAATTAAAGGAGATACCAATGCGGGGGAATCCCAAAATTGGGCCTCAGCCCACAGCAGTTGTTGGCTTCATGCAGCAAAGAATTCAAGAACAAGCTGACAGAGTAGCGAAAGCAAAGCAAGTTTATTAGAGCAACAGAGCACAGGAAAATGACTGCTCCACAGACAGAGCAGGGCTACCCCATAGGCAGAGTAGCACTCACAGATAGCTGACTAGCTATACTTAATAGCTACTTCTTAATCACGTGCTAAATAAGGGGTGAATTATTCACAGATTTTCTAGAAAAGGAGTGGGGAGTTCCCAGACTTGAGGGTTCCTCCCCTTTTAAACCATATAAGGTAACTTCTGGGCATCTCCATGACATTTGTAAACTGTCATGGCACCAGTGGAAGTGTCTTTTACCATTTTACCATATTGTAATTAGCGTATAATGAGCAGTGAGAGCAACTAGAGGTTACCATCTTGGTTTTAGCTGGTTTTGGCCTATTTCTTTACTGCATCCTGCTTTAACCAGATCTTGTTTTGATCAATGGGGTCATGACTGGTGCTTGGAAAACAAGTCCTGCTCATCTCCTACCACAGCACTGCATGCAAGAGAAAGCAAAACATATGTACACACAAAAACTGGTACATGAGTGTTGATAGCAGCATTATTCATAATAGTCAAAAGGTGGACACAGCCCCAATGTCCATTAACCAATCAATGGATAAACAAAATGTGGTATGTCCATACAGTAGAATATTATTTGGCCATTAAAAAGAAGGAAGCACTGGCATGCAATATGATATGGATGAACCTTAAAAAGTCATGCTAAGTGAAAGAAGCCAGTCACAAAAGACACATATTATATGATTTCATTCATATTAAATGTCCAGAATAGTGGACATCTATAGAGACAAAGTAGAATAGTGGTTGCTTGGGGCTGGGTGTTGCAGAGGAAAGCAGGGTATCAGCTAAAGGGTACAGGGTTTCTATTCAAATTCACATACCTGTGAATATATGAAAAACTCATGAATTGTACACTTAAGATGGGTGAATTATATGATATATAAATATGTCTCAATAAAGCTGTCAAAATAAATAAATAATTAAAAGTAACCAAGCAAGAATAATAATCAAATCTTTGTGGCTTAAAAACAAAAAAGAAGACCAAAAAGAAAGAAAGGAGGAAGGAAGCAGGGGTTCCACAATAAGGGAACCAGAATAGTGTCTAACATACAGTAAGGATGCAATCAACACTATCAGTATTACTTAGTTACTTTTATTGATTCTTAACACCACTTGGTGATGTTACTATTCTTTTTGAGTAAATATGAATTATTATGTATAGCTTTGAAAATGCTTTAGAAAAGAGTATTGCTAGGTATACTGACTAATAATAAGACTGAAATCTCCATTTCAATTTTAAAGTATTCATCTTTAAATATATTTTGAAATTCATGCATATATTCTGAAATCTAAAGAAAATATATCCCTAAATAGTCTATTAAAAAGGTAAACTTCAAAATGAAATGCAGCTTTTTCTCTTCTTTAAAGAGTTTTCCATTTAACTACATTAAAATAATTATGATTGACAAATATTTAAATGTTAGCAATTGACTAGCTATAGAGTCAAACATGAGAAAACTAGAAAAGGCCACTCACTCTGAAAAACACCATAGAATTCATTGAAGTGAATTCAATGAAAAATTGATTCATTCTTTAAAATCTCTTTAGGCTGTTTTCCAAAAGCCACACATACTATGCCAAAAATTTTTAAAGAGATGCCTTTTTTGACTATCAATTTCCAAAATCTCAAACAATTCAAAAAGAAAATAAATAAGATTAATTCCCTTCCCTTTCAGGAACCCATCTCTGGTCTCCTCTTTCTCTCCTCCATGAATCAACATATATCTGCAGGTATATTTCACTTTATAAGGTAAATCCCCATGTCTTTTGCCTTACTCAGAGATGGATTTATTAAAAAACAAATAAAATGAGCTGAAGGGTCCTTTGTTTGTAAGGACCGTTTCCTCTACCTAACTATGTTTATAATGTTGTATTCTATTCCTGAAAGAGCTCCCCTCAAAATGTATAAGCTTCAGGTACCACGAAAGTTGATCAGTCCCTGGTTGCTACTTCCATTTTATCCACTATTTTGTCCCTTCAAATCCTCCACACTCCAAAATCAAGTTCAAATTCTTCTACAGGAAGCCTTCAATTATTCCAACCAGAACTGATCTCTCCCTTCTCTAACTTTCTACTGCACTTACTCACTTTAAAACTTCAAAATCCTTTTTTCAAAACCCTCCAGGCTGGTTGAGTTCAGAATTTAGAATTTTTTCTATGTTATGGCTGTAAGCTACATATTATGGAATGGTGCATAAATCACGTGTTGTTTAACACTTTCCATGGGGGTCCAAGGCAGAACTATATCATCAAATATATTACTACGTCTTCATTGAAATACAGGAGTATTCCCCAGAGTGAGAATACTCATGTGTTCAGTTTGGCTCATAATTGACAGAAAAATTAACTTTTAATTTTCAGAGATTTTGGGTCTCACGACTGTGGCTAAAGGATTATCATCAAAGGACCTAAATATCATTGTGTCATTATTTCATGTTTCACTATCTAGGTCTCACTGAATTAAAATGGCTCTTCACTATTCTGTCTCCAGTACAACACATTCAGCACATAGCAGATGTTCAGTAAATATTTTAGAATGAATAAGTGAAAGAACTAAGCCTTGCACTAGGTTGAACTAGTCAAGGAAGAAGACTGTGTCCTTTTTAGTAGACAACCCCAGCACCAAGGCCAGTGCCTTGTACATGGTGCATACAATAACTATTGGTTGAGTTGAATCAAATTTCTCAGATCTCTTGCAGAGTACCTAGGATGGTAAGGACCCAATTAATGCTTCATGATCTCAATATCTGTCAATATCACTGACTTACAAAATTGGATTGATTCCCATAGAGGAGGGAAAACACAGAGCATGGGAGTATGGAAGAAGCAGTAGTGGGAAGCCTAAACATGGCAGAAAAAAAAAAGAAAGAGAAAGAAGAAAGAAGAAAAAGAAAGAAAGAAAGAAAGAAAGAGAGAAAGGAGAGAGAGAAAGAAAGAAAGAAAGAAAGAAAGAAAGAAAGAAAGAAAGAAATAAGCAAGCAAGCAAGAAAGAAAGAAAGAAAGAAAAAGAAAGGAAGAAGAAAGAAAGAAGCAAGCAAGCAAGAAAGAAAGAAAGAAAGAAAAAGAAAGGAAGGAAGGAAGGAAAGAAAGAAAGAAAGAAAGAAAGAAAGAAAGAAAGAAAGAAAGAAAGAAAGAAGGAAAAGAAAGAGAAAGAAAGAAAGAAGGAAAAAACCTTGTGAAAAAGGATGGAAGCAGAGAATTATATTTCACAAAGACCTTGGACTCTGCAAGAGGGACCCCATACACCTTAAGAATTCTGCAGCATTTTTCTTAAGTTCAGGAATACATGTGCAGGCTTGTTACATAGGTAAACTTGTGTCATGGAGGTTTGTTGTACAGATTATGTCATAACCCAGGTATTAGGCATAATAGTACCCATTAGTTATTTTTCCTGATCCTCTCCCTCCTCCCATCCTTCACCCTCCACCCTCCAAAAGGCCCCAGTGTGTGTTGTTTCCCTTCATGTGTCCATGTGTTCTCATAATTTAGCTCCCACTTATGACTGAGAACATGGGATATTTGGTTTTCTGTTCCAGTGTTAGCTTGCTAAGGATAATGGCCTCCAGCTCCATCCATGTTCCTGCAAAGGACATAATCTCATTCTTTTTTATGGCTATGTATTACTCCATAGTAAAGGGTTGGAGCATTCTTCTTGAGGTTGAGTCTTCTCTTGACAACAACCTCTTTCCTGTGTCCCTGTGTGACTACAAATCCTCAACATCACATTTGTAGTTACAAAAACATTACCTCATCCCTTCCCTTGTCTGGGTAGTTTTAGAGTCTTTTATAGAGAGCCGAACTAAAAGATCACATTTGGAGGATACCACATGGCATCGTGTACCCCAATCTGAACTTTTCTAAATTGGAGGTTCTTCATGGAATAGTTTGTAAATTCATCAACTGCATACATTGTTTTTTTTTTTAACATATAACTTGCTTTGAATAAGACATTGTACTGTAATCTTTGCGAGCATGAGTGATGGAGGCAGTCATTGGCCAAATTGTATGTCTCCCTGTGTTTCACTTTCCTCATTGGTAAATGGGATAATACTACTGACCTCACAGTTATGGAATGAAGGTAAAGGATATAGTGTATAAAAACTTCTTAGAGAGGAACATGATGACACAGTCAGCAGAAATTGTGCTCAATGTCAGTGTAAGGAAGTTAGATCTATAACCTCTTATATCAGCCTTGCATAAATAATGATAATATACGTACTAATTATTGCTGATATTAGTCATAAAATAATGATTTGAATTTGGATACCACTCTTACTTTTCAAAATGCTTTCATTTTATAGCAAATTTCGTCCCCAAGTTATCCTTTGCAGTAAAAAAAACATGTAATCCCAATTTTTTTAAATTTTTTTTTAAATTATACTTTAAGTTCTAGGGTACATGTGCACAACGTGCAGGTTTGTTACATATGTATACATGTGCCATGTTGGTGTGCTGCACCCATTAACTCGTCATTTGCATTAGGTATATCTCCCAATGCTATCCCTCCCCACTCCCCCCACCCCACAACAGGCCGCAGTGTGTGATGTTCCGCTTCCTGTGTCCAAGTGTTCTCATTGTTCAATTCCCACCTATGAGCGAGAACAGGCGGTGTTTGGTTTTTTGTCCTTGTGATAGTTTGCTGAGAATGATGGTTTCCAGCTTCATCCATGTCCCTACAAAGGACATGAACTCTTCATTTTTTATGGCTGCATAGTATTCCATAGTGTATATGTGCCACATTTTCTTAATTCAGTCTATCATTGATAGACATTTGGGTTGGTTCCAAGTCTTTGCTATTGTGAATAGTGCCACAATACACACACGTGTGCATGTGTCTTTATAGCAGCATGATTTATAATCCTTTGGGTATATACGCAGTAATGAGATGGCTGGGTCAAATGGTATTTCTAGTTCTAGATCCCTGAGGAATCGCCACAGTCTTCCACAATGGTTGAACTAGCTTACAGTCCCACCAACAGTGTAAAAGCGTTCCTATTTCTCCATATCCTCTCCAGCACCTGTTGTTTCCTGACTTTTTAATGATCGCCATTCTAACTGGTGTGAGATGGTATCTCATTGTGGTTTTGATTTGCATTTCTCTGATGGCCAGTGATGATGAGCATTTTTTCATGTGTCTTTTGGCTGCATAAATGTCTTCTTTTGAGAAGTGTCTCTTCATATCCTTCACTCACTTGTTGATGGGGTTGTTTTTTTCTTGTAAATTTGTTTGAGTTCTTTGTAGATTCTGGATATTAGCCCTTTGTCAGATAAGTAGATTGCAAAAAATTTTATCCCATTCTGTAGGTTGCCTGTTAACTCTGATGGTAGTTTCTTTTGCTGTGCAGAAGCTTTTTAGTTTAATTAGATCCCATTTGTCAATTTTGGCTTTTGTTGCCATTGCTTTTGGTGTTTTAGACATGAAGTCCTTGCCCATGCCTATGTCCTGAATGGAATTGCCTAGGTTTTCTTCTAGGGTTTTTATGGTTTTAGGTCTAACATTTAAGACTTTAATCCATCTTGAATTAATTTTTGTATAAGGTGTAAGGAAGGGATCCAGTTTCAGCTTTCTACATATGGCTAGCCAGTTTTCCCAGCACCATTTGTTAAATAGGGAATCTTTTCCCCATTTCTTGTTTTTGTCAGGTTTGTCAAAGATCAGATGGCTGTAGATGTGTGGTATTATTTCTGAGGGCTCTGTTCTGTTCCATTGGTCTATATCCCTGTTTTGGTACCAGTACCATGCTGTTTTGGTTACTGTAGCCTTGTAGTGTAGTTTGAAGTCAGGTAGCATGATGCCTTCAGCTTTGTTCTTTTGGCCTAGTATTGACTTGGCAATGCGGGCTCTTTTTTGGTTCCATATGAACTTTAAAGTTACATACACCCTTGCAAGACTAAACCAGGAAGAAGTTGAATCTCTGAATAGACCAATAACAGGATCTGAAATTGAGGCAATAATTAATAGCCTACCAACCAAAAAAAAAGTCCAGACCAGATGGATTCACAGCCGAATTCTACCAGAGGTACAAAGAGGAGCTGGTACCATTCCTTCTGAAACTATTCCAATCAATAGAAAAAGAGGGAATCCTCCCTAATTCATTTTATGAGGCCAGCATCATCCTGATACCAAAGCCTGGCAGAGACACAACAAAAAAAGAGAATTTTAGACCAATATCCCTGATGAGCATCGATGCAAAAATCCTCAATAAAATACTGGCAAACCAAATCCAGCAGCACATCAAAAAGCTTATCCACCAAGATCAAGCGGGCTTCATCCCTGGGATGCAAGGCTGGTTCAACATCTGCAAATCAATAAATGTAATCCAGCATATAAACAGAACCAAAGACAAAAACCACATGATTATCTCAATAGATGCAGAAAAGGCCTGTGACAAAATTCAACAACCCTTCATGCTAAAAACTCTCAATAAATTAGATATTGATAGGACATATCTCAAAATAATAAGAGCTATTTATGACAAACCCACAGCCAATATCATACTGAATGGGCAAAAACTGGAAGCATTCCCTTTGAAAACTGGCACAAAACAGGGATGTCCTCTCTCACCACTCCTATTCAACACAGTGTTGGAAGTTCTGGCCAGGGCAATCAGGCAGGAGAAAGAAATAAAGGGTATTCAATTAGGAAAAGAGGAAGTCAAATTGTCCCTGTTTGCAGATGACATGATTGTGTATCTGGAAAACCTCATTGTCTCAGCCCAAAATCTCCTTAAGCTGATAAGCAACTTCAGCAAAGTCTCAGGATACAAAACCAATGTGCAAAAATCACAAGCATTCCTATACACCAATAACAGACAAACAGAGAGCCAAATCATGAGTGAACTCCCATTCGCAATTGCTTCAAAGAGAATAAAATACCTAGGAATCCACCTTACAAGGGATGTGAAGGACCTCTTCAAGGAGAACTACAAACCACTGTTCAACGAAATCAAAGAGGATACAAACAAATGGAAGAACATTCCATGCTCATGGATAGGAAGAATCAATATCGTGAAAATGGCCATACTGCCCAAGGTAATTTATAGATTCAATGCCACCCCCATCAATCTACCAATGACTTTCTTCACAGAATTGGAAAAAACTACCATAATCCCAATTTAACAGCGAAGACACTCTGGCCAAGTGGTAGGAGTGACGCTGAGTTCAGGTCACCTTTATAGGAATGCACCCTTGGCTCTTGAGATCTGGATCAGCTCCAGTACCTTAGCTTTTTCCTTAATCCTCCCTCTACAACATCCCATGTCTTTCACAAGTCTGATTTTGGTCAGTTCCAATAATCTTAAAAGTGCTGCCATCTTTCATAAACCTCAAAACAACCTTTCCTTCCCTTATTTTCTGAGCCTTCAGGGATAATGTTGCTTCAAATAAAAAGAACTATGTCACAATAATCTCTTATGCTTTGTTTGTCAAAGAGTTCAAACATATGCTATGTTGTCAACCCACAATTATCACTTCCAGTTCTCTACTATATAATCAGGAGGTGAGGGGATATAAGTAGAGGCTCTATTCTCACCTCACTTATGTACCAACCGCAGGGTATAAAAACTGATTTATAGTTGTAGGTGGAACACAAATATATTCATATATGCATATATACTAGCTTTCATAATATATTGTATAATACAGCTCTATGTATAAAATAACATATTATACAGTTTTTAAAAAAATATTTGTATGTGTATCATTATTATCATTAAAGATGAAGCTTCCTTATCTATGAAATGGAGATAATAGTAACTACTTCGTGAAGCCATTATAAGGACTAAATGAATTAATATACGTTAAACAGGACAGTCTCTAGTACAATACACAATAAATATTAGCTGTTATTATAATTATTATTTTATATATTATAAAAAGAGTCCTTATTTGTAAACATTATTCACTAGAGATTATCCTAAATACTTAGTTTCTTCAGTGCACCAAATTTTTATATTTCTCAATATTTATTTTCTAATGCAACTTTCATAAAAATATTTTTCCATGAAGTGGCATATTATGTTCCTTAAAGATATTTACAGTGTGTGGTAATACAACATAGCCATAAGTCAAACCACATAAAGAAATAAAGGAAAACTGTAACTCAGAACCTGTGAAACAATTATTTTTTACAATAGGACCTCATTCTAGTCTTCACTGCCTGTGCTACATATAAAAATATTTACTTCCTTAAATGGATTCATCCTCAGTTATTACTGTTTAATTTAGCACTGTTTTCAGAACAAATGGTATTGGGAAAGAATTCACTACATTTACCTTGGTGCATTTGTGTCTAAGTTATAGTACAAAAGAAGCTGTCATTCCAAAGGACTTGAACCCCTCCAGCCCATGACGATGACAGAGTTGAAAATGCTTCTCATCCATCACTAAAGAGCATGATCAGGGCTGAGTCAACTAATTTTCTCCCAAACATGTGCATCCAAAATGAGGACAAATAAACAGAGACAGCTCATTACACTGCTCCAAGGAAGAAAAGGGTCTCAAAGTGCTCTCTCTTTAGCCCTGATTTTTACCTCACTAATTTGAAAAGAAATCCTTACTTTGAACCCTACAAATCTACATAGACTTTGGTGTATTTAGAACAGAGTTTTGAGCAATGTTTTCCCAAGGGTGTTGCATAGGACACTGGTGGTACAAAGTACTGATAAGTTTTTTTCAAAAACACGTATGTGTTTACACACACACAAATCTATCAGGATTCCATGATTAAATAAGGTTGCTAGACATTGGGTTAAACAGAGTTTATCAGATTTTTTTTATTATGGGATTTCTCAGGGACCTAATGTTACTATGACTCTCTAAGAGGGTACATGGTGGGTATCTCTCAGACATATTTATCTATGGACTCTCCATCTCACAAACTATCTTTCTTATACCAGTGTTTCACAAAACACACTTTGGGAAACTTCTTTAGAATACCACATATTTTATGTCTTTAGCCTGTATTCCTTTTCTGAATTCTGAACAGGATCTCTCCTTCTGTTTTGCATTTTTAATAAATTCAGGAATTTGCACTTCTACAGCTGAAGGAATCCATCTACTATATCAAGTACATTTTCTATTCTTGAAATTGACCATTACAAATTTTTGGTTAATTGTTTTAAAATAACTTAAAGTAATGATGTCTTAAACTAAAAAAATCAGTTGTGTTAACTCATAATTAAATAGCAAATTAAAATATCCCAGAATAAAACTTCTACATAAGTCCATGAGTTTGCCTAACACATTTATCTCCAACCAAATGGCATGAAGTTGAATTTGTGATTGTCACATGAACTCTGGTAAGCAGATGCCATTATATCCTCAGGAAACCACAGCAATCAACATTGATAACCTGTACATTGTCTTATAATAAACCATGTTAATAAATGAATAAAAATAAAAGCATATTTATTATTAAAAAATCATATTAATCTGGAACCAAGAAAGCTCTAAAGTTTAGGGATTCCATTTTTCTTTAAAGTGCATAATTCTTAAAGCATGCTAATAATAAAAAAAGTAAACAGTCTTCAGTCTCCAAAGGACTAAACAGACTCTTAAATGTTAGGAAGTTATTGCTTATAACATTTCATTCCTCTCAAAACCTTGAGACTTAAATTTGGACTTGAGACATTATGCTGTCTTAAATGTAATCATACTGTGTATATTAATTTGAACTGAAGAAAAAAAAATTTTTTTTAAATGCAGTAAGATTTGACAACCTCCATCTATCAAACTCTGTGAATCCAAGCTTGTGGGAAAATTCCAAGGAACTTGAGTGCAAAACTGCATGTATGCATATCGGTCACATTGACTTCTCTTTGTTTCTGAAGGGGAAAAAAACCCTACTATATTAAAAAGAGAAAAACTAAACTCATAAAATCAATTGATAAAGTTGGTCTCAGAATCCTACCGTGAAGAAAAGCTGCTATATTAACAAAATAAAAGGTATTGCCTAAAATTACCAGTTTGATAAAAGGTTCCCTAAGCTGCTCCAGTTTTTTGTATTACAAATCAGCAAATTCAGCACCTCTTTTACATTAAACTTGGTTCCAAGTGTTTCAGGGCCTCAAACTGGGGTCCAGCTTCAGGTTTCTGACATTAAATCCTTAATACGACATGAAAAATTCCCCTGGGCACATCAGGAGTAATCAAATTTCATGTAAATTATTAAATTACAGACATTCAATTATGTTTTCCCAAACTCTCTTTAGAAATTCTAAAGGCCCTTAGAAAACATCCTTAAGCCAAAGGCGAAGTTGGCAAGTGAAACCGTTTACCTGCGAAAGCAAAACAAAGAGGGGTCCTCACAATCCCAAGAGGCACGTTGCAAAGTGGCACGCGATGTACCCCATCCCTATTGTGAGGCACAAATTCTTTGTAACACTGGGAGACACCGCAGAACAAAAATACTATTAGAGATGCTTCAAAAGGAACATTTTTGGCTGCGCTAGGGACTTTTGACATTATTTATTAGGTTCAAAAATGCTTCACAAAAGCCTAACAATGGTTCTGTGGAAACCAGTACATCTGAGGCCCTTTCTGTTGTTCTGAGCAGGCATTGATTTGAAGATGGGCAGCACTCGCCGAACAATTCCCTCGCAGCGGTCAATGTAAGTGAGCATTCACCACCGGCCTAGAAAGGGCCTGTGAACAAACCGTATGGAAACGCCGGGTTGGGCGGGGGGGTGCTGAGGAGCAAACCTTTATTAACCTCTTGGAGGGGAAATGGGTGGAAGCACCGGCCAGCAGAGGAAGGGGCGCTCCTGCCAGATTGCCATGGAGGGAGGTGTCCGCCTGAGGCCTCCTGTCCCGCGGGGTATGAGGATGCTTGGGGAGCATCTCCGGCGCCATGGCAACCGCGCCTTTTCCGACGGGATTTCCGGACGCGCCCAGGAGTCTGCTTTGGATGTCGTCGGGGTGTGCCTGAGCGCCTGCTGGGACTGCCATCCTCTCCTCCGGCTCGAGCTCTGTGTTACTCGGGCCGGTGCTCTGCAGAGCGCCGGGCGTCTGGCTCCTCCTGCAGAGGCCGATGGCAGTGGAAGGTCTGGCGGCAGAACCTGGAAGGCAAAGCAGGAAAGCAGGACAGAGATGAGGCTCAAGCGTGCGGGACCACACCGCACCCCCGCGACAACTGGACGTCTGAGAAATCAACATTTGTAATGTGCTCAGAGGGGAAAGAAAAAAAAAAAAAAACCCTGACATGATCCTCACCTGCCTCCCCATATTTCTCTAAGAAAACAAAAATGCTATCCATTCCTTTCCTGTTCTTTGAAACCACCTACCCAACACCTCAAAAAAAAAAATAGCTTTTGCATAATCCTCAGAAAACTTTCTATTTCAAGGAAAACTGTTCAAAACTCCTAAAGAGAGAGACATAGAAGAATCGGTGGCTAAAATAGGGCCCGAACTTCTAAATGAAGGGAAAGTTTGTGATTGGAAAATTGTCAAGCGGAGTTATTAATGGATATGTAAAAGCAAATGTGTCTACAGCTCCTGTAGGCTGTCAACTGATGATTTTTTTTAAATACAGGAGGCTGTTATTTCATGAGTTTTATTGGAAACTTCAAACCAGCTGAAGACTAAAACAAACAGTAAATTAACCTAAGACTGGGTCTACATCACACACACATATCCACTAATACTAATAAGTTTGACTTTTTTCTTTCTTTGCCCAACGAAATAATTTTTCCATACAAAAGATGTGTTTTTTTACAACATAGCCAAGACTGCTATATGTGTGTGTGAATATATATATATTCAGAAACATATATTTACCTACATTTTCATATGTATATATAAACTTCCATATTATATAATATATTGCATATATAAACTTCAAGATTTATATAAATACATATATAAATCATGAAGATTTTACCTGAAAAATTCTGCCCATTGACCTACACAAATTAAAATCTAATTCTTCAGTAGTGACTTAAGATAATTTATGTGCCTTAAATAAAAAATGTATGTGCTTTAAATCACTTTCTAGAAGCTTTCAAAGGTTTTTAATAGCATTTAGATGTCTAGAATATTTGGAGCAACTCAGATCATTCCAAAATTCAAAAAACACATAAAATAATTAAAATGAATAGTACCTTCCTAACACTGGATGTCAAACAGCCAGTGTATCTTTACGTAATTCAGTTTAGTTCATCGAACTCTGTTCTATGCCTAGTATGTACTGAGCACCTCCCTCTGCACATTCCACATGCCCAAGTCAAACAGTGAAAATTTTTTTGTGAATCTGAATTCTCCAATGCAGGAATCACTTCCTGAAATAAAGGCAGAATGGCATTTTAATATCTCCAAGTAAATGAAAACTTTCAAGCATGTTGCTTTGTGAACACTAGGTGCTTAATAGCTGTTGATTTGGATTTCTGGCCCTGTCAGATGAACCATTCACTGCCATCAATATTCAGTGCAAGAAGAATCCTCCAGAGAACATTGATGTAGCTTTGGAGTTTGGAGCAACAGGGCATGACCTAGACAGGATATGCTTTCCTATGTCTTGAGCCAAAAAAATAGAAATTTCCTTCCCTGAAAGCAATTTAGTAATGATACATTTTGCAACAAACTATCTTAAAGGAACAGTGTGGTATAATGAAGTAAAGCTCTGGGGTCAGGACTTCACAGATTCAAATCTTGGTACATGACCTGGCCTAAGTCTCTTTGACCTTACCCGAAAGATGGGAATTATATTACCTACTTCACAGGGTTGCTAGTGAGATTAAATTTGTTCATTCATTTATTAATATTTGAATGCTCAGTATGTGATCAGCAGTATTCTAGACCTTGGGGATACAGAAGGAATATGCAGGCAATAAAAAGTAGGGAGGAGAAGCAGACTAACGAGCAAGTGAATGAATAAATTTTAAGTGCCAGCTGGTAATAAACCCTATGATGAAAAATAAACTGAAAAAGGAAGTTGAGAAAGACCTAAGTAGGTGACATTTCAAGTCAAAGACTTGAAATGAGAAAGGAAACTAGCTAAGTATTGGAGGAAAGAATCTGACAAAATGTTAAGCATCAAGTACATGGCAAGTGCTCAGTACTCAAGAGTCACCATAGTCATATTTAGAACCTGGATCTAGAAATACTCTGACCTGGATTCTGCACTAAACCATAGGAAAATAACAGTTTCTATCTCAGAAGAGAGTCATGAGGATCAAAACTGAAGATGTACATTCCAATTTCAACATATTGCCTTGTTCATAGTAAGAATTCAAAAGTGTTAGCCGACCAGCATCTTCTGTTTCCCATCACCAGGCTCAGCCTCCCAGAAACAAGGGAATCTCTGACATAGCCTTTCTGGAAGAAGGTCTCCCAGCCCCCTGCTTGAGCACTTCTAGCCCATGCAGTACATTCTCTTCTAGTTCAAAGAAAGTTCTCCTTTGTATTGAGTCAAAATCTATCTCTTGTCTTCTGGTCAGTTCCAACAAACTGTACAAACATGTGGAGGGAAACCTACCTCAAAAGGTCCCTATAAAGCAGGGGTGTCCAATCTTTTGGCTTCCCTGGGCCACATAGGAAGAAAAAAATTGTCTTGTTTTGGGCCATAAATAAAATACACTAACACTGATGATAGCTAATGAGAAAAAAACTCACAAATAATCTCGTGTTTGCAGAAAGTTTACGAATTTGTGTTGGGCCACATATAAAGCCATAGACCATGAGTCGGACAAGCTTGCTATAAATGAAAAGACTATATAACATCAGTCTCATCCTTCTTCTACATGACAGCTCTTGGAATATTTGGAGATCCACATTTTTTCCTTACATTTTCTCTCCTCCAGTCTGAACATCAGCACCATAAGTACCACCACCGTCATCACCACCCCCATTAAGCCCTTACTATGTTCAGGAAATTTTATTTATATAAATCATTTAATTTGAAGTAATAATTGTCATTTTTTACAGATGAAAAAACTGGGCTGCAAAAACATTTTTGAGACTTGATCATGGCTACAGATCTGAGATGGGAGAGAGTCGATATTTGAGCACAGTCAAAACTTATCCCTTCTGGGCCATGTCCTTACTTTGAATCATTCCTCCTATATCCTGTGCTATGAATTCACAACTTCCTTGTCTGTAAAATGGGGATAATGGTATGATCTGCCTGAATATTATATGAGGATTTCATAAAATAATATAAAATGCCTAGCACAGTGTCTGGCACATGGTGAAAGCTTAATAAGTGTGGCTGGAATGGTGATGATAATAGCTGTCATTGTCAGGTGCAATAACTGAATCATCAAATTACCTGTCATCAACTCACACCTGTTCTCTCCTCCAATATAATGCTTGACAACAAGCAGACTTTCATTGAAGACTGGCTACTACAGTTCTTACAGTACCTTCTAGAATAGGACTGGCCATGAAGTCAATATTTTTTCTGTTTATACTGAAGTTAAAAACAAAATGTGACCAGTTGAAACAAGAAGAGTCAGTAACCACAACATGATACTTACCAGAATTTTTCTTGGGACTGCTCAAGGGCTGGCCCTTAGGTCTTGTGTGTCTACTGATGTGTATGCCCTGAGCCTCCAGGTGAACAGGATTTACTGAGTGTGCCCAGTTAGGCTTTTTAACCAGTTGTTCCAAAAATGAACTGTTCCAAGCCTGCTTGGGTGCTCCTCTGGCTCTCTCCTCAGTTTCTCCTCTGGCAGTAAAAATCAATGGGGCCTCATCAGTTTCACTGGATGGTGCTGGAGAGGAACGGAATTCTTCATAGCTTTCTTCATCAAAAGAAACTGTGCTTACAGAACACCTGGGGACTATGTACTGGCAAGTATGAAGTAGTCTTTTACACGCCATTGAATTTTGAGTCCTTTCTGGAAATACTGTGAAAGGTAAATACATTCGTTTGAAAAATTCACCAAAAACACCTGCTAAATTAATGGCAGGAAGGATGGAGTCAGGTAATATGTAAACTTTTGGTTGTTTTGTGTTTCTACTGTGAGTAAACAAAAATGACAGACTAGGGTAGCTGAGTAGGAGAAGAAGAAGAGGGGAGGGTCTGGAAAGGGAGGTAGAGGACAGGATGTTTGTGCTGAGTTCTAGTTATGTTGAAGGCACCGTGTGAGGCCCCAGACATGTTTGTCACTGAATCCTCAAAAGAATCATATCTAGCAGATAGTATTATTATCTGTCTTGCACAGGTCACAAAGCTAGTTTTGAGGCTTATGGGTTGAATTGTGTTCACCCCCTCCCCTCCCTGCCAAAAAAGATATATTAAAGTCCTAACCCGCAGCACCTGTGCATGTGACCTTATTTGGAAATAGGGTCTTTGAAGATGTAACCAAATTAAGATGAAATCATTCTGGATTAGGGTGAGCCATAATCTAATAAGACTGGAGTCCTTATAAGAAAAGGAAACTGAGACACACAAGAGAATGCCAGTGAAGACAAAGACACAGAGGGAAGACCCAGGTGAAGACAGGGACAGATATTGGAGATAGCCTGCTGCAAGCCAAGGAACACCTGGGCTACCAGGAGATGGAAGAAGCCACAAGGAAGATCCTACCCTAGGGGCTTCAGAAAAAGCACAGACCCGTGAACACCTTGATTTTAGACTTGTAGCTTCCCAAACTGAGAGAATACATTTCTGTTTTTTTAAGTCACCCATTTTGTGGTAATTTATTACAGTGGTCCTCAGGAACCAATACAGGCTTAGAGCAAGTAGCTTGCTAAAGGTCACAAATAATTAGCAGAGTTGAAACTTGAATCCACATCTGTCAACCCCATAGCCCAATATTGACTGCTGAAGCCACTCCTTTTGATGCACTGTCAGAAGGTAAAAAACAATCTCAATTGCTCAAAACTGCCCTAGAATATTGTAAAGAGCACAGAGAGAAAAGAGCTATACCACCCACATTGATTCTTATCCAGCAGTTGATATGGGTTTCTTTACCTAATTCATTTCCACTGGGAAACTGACAGCCTACTGTGTCAACTCAAACCATTCATATCTACATTTCTAGCGTCTCAGTAGAAAGTAAACAGGAAAAAAAGTCCCCAATTGTCAAAGATATTAATGAGCAGAGCTGGTGCAATGCCACATTTCCCTGTCACTGGTGATGGTGGCCTGGAGGAGATGGAGATAAGACAGTTTAAAGATATATCTAAGAAGCAAATCTGGCTTCTTAGCCAATTTGGTAGTGGGTTGGTTATGGGAGGAAGAGGCACACAGAAAAAGGGAAGAATAATTCCCTAGATTTACAACTAGATGAATGGTAGAGGGGCATGCACATGTGTGCACATGTGTGTGTAGGTGTGTGCTTGTGTGTGCATGCAAATGTAGGATTGAGATTTGAGTGCTGAGATCTCTTTTGGGGAGAGGGGTGCTGTGAAAGGGATGAAAAGATGCAAGATTCATTTGCCTTTATCTTATTACCCAAGCCAATTCTTTTTGAGATTCTTGCTTCCATATAAATAAAAATGAATTATGGTTTGTTTCTAAGTTAAGATATTCTTCACAGTGCTGTCAGTGCAAGCTCTGAAGATTGGTGAGCTGGGTTTGAATCCTGATTCTACAAAATACTAGTTGTGTAGCCTAGAAAAAATTCTCTAGGTTTACTCTGCCTCAGTTTCTCATTCATAAAATAGGAATAATCATATCTACCTCTAGGAATATTCTAACTATTAATAGTAGATTAGATAATGCACATAAAGTACTTAGGGTAGTAGTTGGCATTTAGAAAACACTTGACAAATATTGAACATTATATAGTATACTAGAGTTTACATGGAAAAATACTTATTATAGTGCAACATAAAAGTATATAATTTTGATTTTTAAGAGGCAAAGAATAAAAACTGGAAGAAAATCAAATTAACAGTTGTTTCTCAGAGGTATAATTCAAACTCTGGGTAACTTCTATGTAATATTCAAATTTTATGCACTCAATATGTTTTACTCTTATAATTCAGAAATCATCTTCAATTAGACAGTGCAGATAAACTTTAGAGAGTCAATGTAGTTTAGCATTCCTTACCATTTATTTAATAGGATGACCTGTCACCTAACAGTAACATGGAATGAGATCATTCATGGAGGGAGCAGAATGAGGAAGGATAAGTGTTTAGAGCTTTGGGATCTGATTGGGTGAGGTGTTAAGCAGACTTGTCTGGACAAATAAAGGGCAATTTGCAGGAAGGCATTGGGCCTGAGGTAGCATGAACAAATGACCTAGCTTGCTGTGATATAAATTGTGTCCTCTAAAAGATACGTTGAGGTCCTAACCTCCTGTGCCTGTGAATGTAACCTTATTTGGAAATCAGGTCTTTGCAAAGATAATTAAGCTAAAATGGTGGTCCTTAATCCAATATGACTGGTGTCCTAATAAGAAAAGAAAACAGAGATACAAACATGCAGGAAGAATCCCATGTGATAACGAAGGCAGAGATTGGAGGGGTGTACCTACAAGCCAAGGAACACCAAATATCACCAACAACCACCAAAAGCTAGGAAAAAGGCACTGAACAGCTTTCTCCTTCAGAATCTCCAGAAAAAGCCAACGCTGCTGGTAGTTAAATTTGGATCTCTGGTCTCCAGAATTTGTGAAAAAATAAATTTATGTTGCTTTAAGCCAGGTGGTTTGTGATACTTTCTTATAGCAGCCCTAGAAAATGATTATACCTACAATAACTCCAATGTACACATGTTGTCCCAGAGTACAGTTGACCCTTGAACTGAGCAGGTCCACTTATATAGGAATTTTCTTCTGCCTCTGCCACCCCTGAGGCAGCAAGACCAACCCCTCCTCTTCCTCTTCCTCCTCAGCCTACTCAAAGTGCAGACAAAGATGAAGACTTTTATGATGATCCACTTCCACTTAATGAATAGTAAATACATATTTTACAATTTTCTTAAAAACATTTTCTTTTCTTTAGATTACTTTATTGTAAGAATACAGTATATAATACAAATAACATACAAAATATATGTTAATTGACTATGTTATCAATAAGCTTCCAGTCAACAGAAGACTACTAGTAGCTAAATTTTGGGGGAGTCAAAAATTATATGCAGATTTTCAACTGTATGAGAGGTCAGCACCCCTAACCTCTGCCTTGTTCAAAGGTCAATCGTAATCATTAATACCAGCTCTTTTCACTCAAAAAAAAAAAGTGTCCAGATTTGAGGGATAGAAAAGAGGGAAAACCAGGAACTGGTAGGTGTGAAATGAGAGCAGGAAAAAGTTAGAGTTCTTGATTTCTACCAGGTAGAAGCAACCGTGCTGGACTGTAAAAACTTGTAGCAAGACACATATTTCCTGAATTCAAGGCACAGTCAAATGGCAAAGAGGGCATTGGCCATGCCAGGTGCCCAGACACAGCCCTCCTGAGCCACAGCTTTGTCCGAGAGTGGAGACCAAAGCAAATGCCTTCAGAGGCCAGGCGGATGACAGAAATGAAATAAGGGTCCAAGTAGGGATACCCTGGGGTGATATGTCCCAGTATAAGGGGCCAGAGACCTTCAGATCCTATCTTTTATTGCCATGAGAGAATGTGGGTCCACTGTAGACAGTTGATATAGTTTGTATATTTGTACCCCACCCAAATCTCACGTTGAATTGCAATCCCCAGTGTTGGAGGTGGGCCCTGGTGGGAGGTGATTGGATAATGGGGACAGATTTCTTACGAATGGTTTAGCACTATCCCTCTGGTGCTGTTCTTGTGATAGTGAGTGAGTTATCCTGAGATTTGGTCATTTAAAAGTGTGTGGCACCTCCTCCCCTTCTCCCCTACTCTCTCTCTCTCTCTCTCTGTGTCTCTCCCTCTCACTTGCTCCTACTTTTGCCATGGGACTTGCCTATTTCACCTTCTCAGGAGCCAATTAAATCTCTTTTCTTTGTAAATGACCCAGTCTCAGGTATTTCTTTATAGCAATGCACAATAGCCTTTCTGGATTTTCAGGAAAAGCAGAAATATGTATTTTTATGCATGTGAAAACCTCTGAGTTTTAAATGTTGGTAACATTTTGGATTTTTTTAATGTAGTGTAAGATACACAAAACACAACTGTTCTTGGAATCATCAGAGGCCACCAATTTGTGTCTTTGGCCTATGCCAGCCTTGTAAAGGCCACGCTATCAATTACCTCCTTTCATAGAATCTTCACCCCAGAACATGATTTTATAAATATTCAGCTTAGAACAGTGGGAATGCATTTGCAAACCCTGTGTGCAAGCACATTTTAGAACTCTAGAAATCTGGTCTACCTCCAAAACGTTAGGCTTTTCATTTTCATTTTAATTGGTTGCCTCATTTCATCTTAGAAAATGTCTACCAGAATTTGAAACAGTAGACAAATTTAGCAGGCTTTCCCAAATGCAGAGAAACATTTAGAATTTTTCAAAACAATAGCGCTGGATCTCTTGATCTTAAAGGAAAACAAACAACACTAGAACCAATAGCATTCTATCTGCCCTTGTTCTGTTGTTCAAATACCAAGAACAAGATGGAAAGCCTGAGGTACTTTATACACTTTCGCATTCCAGGAGTTATGGGTTGAAAGAGACCTTAAAGGTCATCTGAGGCTGAGCCCCCACCAACTTCAATATCCACCTTTGTTTAAATACCTCCAGGGAACTGGATCTTATGACCTGTGCACTAAAGATTTCACTGCTTCTCAGAAGAGAAAGCAACTGTGTATTTGCAATATTAACAGGCATTGTGTGTATGCATGTGCGTGTGTGTGTGTGTGTATTCCTTATACTTAAGTACAGGGAATAATTAATAAGCCACTAGGTATGATGTTGGGACAGGTGGTGACTACGCTTATTTATTTAGTTATTCAATCAATATTTATAGTTTCTACCATATACTAGATACTACCCCAGTGATTACCCAGGCCAATAGAAGTGATCCTTTTAAGACTAAGTTGATCAGCTGATTTATTGCAAAATGAACTTCAGCAAACCAGAACCTTCTAGTGTCTCAGATCCCTGAATGAATTTTGGGTTACCTCTATGATACAACTACAACTACCAGGTTGCCTAAGTGGCTACAGCAACCAGTTGTTTTGGCATCAAACAATCAGAAACAGAGACTGTTGGAAAAGGAAAGTCCTTTTGCAATCTCCAGTGGCTTTTATTAATAGTATTCCTTATAATTTTTCAAATCTACCATTCTAGATAGTGACAGAACTTGAGCCAAAATCCATAGCCCATGACTTAAAGTCCAGAGCTTTTTGTTACGTGACACATCTCTTGCATTGAATACAGTATTTCTCAATCCTGGCTGCACATCAGACAATACCTGACATGCTTTTAAAAATATAAACACGTGCTCCCACCCTTGACCAATCAGTGAGAGTGGGACCCTAGTATCTGTTCACGGTAAATCCTTCAGTGATGAAAATGTATAATCAGGGCAGGGAGCTACTGATCTCAGTCACTCATCAGAGATTTCAGGTGCTATTATCATTTTTATTCAGTCAAACAATCATGAATATACTAGAGCTATAAAATCGACAAAGTCTTTCTCCTCAGGTATCTTTCTATCGATGGTCCTCATTTCAGAAACCAGCATTATTTGCTCCTTTACAACTTGCATGTTCCTTTACATTTTGTTCTCATACCAGTAACTCCACTTGAGCCTCACAAAAACTCTCTGGCTTACTTATGTTACTGAGGAGGAAACAGAGATACAAAGAGAGGAAGCGTCTTGTTACACTCCCTTCTTAGGCAGTGAAGAAGCTGAGTTTAGGACCCAGGTCTTCAGATTTGGGGAGAGTTTTGTTTTTCTACTACACAATCAATGCCAGTAGTGCCAGAGGATACATGTGACTCCCGTGAACTGGGCTTGATGAAGCGAGGTGGATGCAAGTGGTCATGGTGCTAACAGCTAACAAAGGCTGGGCACTGACCATTGGCCAGGCCCTGCTCTATTGTCCATGCCTTGGCCCACAGAAAATGCTATCAGCATTATTTCTAACATACAGAAGAAGAAATGATATCTTTAAAAGGTCAAGCACTCTCTAAATTGCTCAAAGTTCCAATGAATAAAATGAGCAGGATCAGAGTTTAAACTATCTGCCTCTCGAGGACCAACATTCTTAACCGTGTCCTCCAGCTTCCTCAGGCTACTGAGGCAAGGGCACAACTTTTCCCAACTACTGATACACTTGGGGCTTTTTTGGTGTTTTGGTTGTTAAAAAAATTCTCCCAAATATTCAAGTTTTACCAGTTCTTTTAATGTGTAAGCATCTCTGTGTCTTATTTTGCAGCACAGGACTTCCATCTGTTGCCAATTTTATATGAAGTAATATTGTGGCAGATGATTTCAAGGTACAATAAAATGAATCTATTTTACAGAAACAACTTCTCATTCCTTTTGAGCTGCAAAGCAGTTCATGGTAAATCATAACAAATGCTGATGTATTCATTTTCAGTTTTGATACAATAGAAAAAGACAAATATGTTAACTCCTGTACTTTCAGCCCCTCTGAGATACCAGCGAGCTGACCACTTCACACCCACTTCTTGTAGCTATCCCTTAAAAAATAACTTCTTTGTGTTCATTTTTCCACTCTGTCTTTTCCTCTCTCTCATGCTTGTAACTCTAGCATGTTCATGTTATGAAAAAACTAGAGGCAATTGTCCTAAAAGGAGAAATGAAACAGAGACAATTAATTCCCCAAAGCTCATTTTGCCTTTCTCTCTAGGCACAAATGAGAGCCTGAAGCTAATCGATTTCATCTCCGGCATATCTAAAGTCCAACATAAACCTCAAATAGATTTTCTATTAATGCTGAAACTCCAGTGTTAGGCTTTAAAAAGTATTCTTACACCACATAATGGGGTTTAATGAAGGCTGCCATCTCCTATTCAGCTTTTTAGCTAACTGGGGAGTGAAAGTCATTTTTAAGCTAATAGGGTTGAAGCAAAGGAAGAGTCTGAGATGCACCACACCCAAGAGGTGGCAGAGGTTGGAGGCCAAGAGCACAAGCACTGGATCCAGACTGCTCAAGTCAAATCTATGCTTTTCCCCTTCCCAGCTGTGTTACCTGTTACCTAGGCCCAGCTACTTAAGTGTTCTCTGCCTCAGTTTTCCCATTCATAAAATAAAAATAATGATAATATCTATCACACAGGATTGGTATGAAGATTAAATGAATTAAACAACAGGAGTTTAGAGCAGTACCTGCCACATAGGACATACTTAACAAATCTTAGCTGTTATTATCGTTGTTGTTATTACTTCCTTCCTCTCTCCCTCTGTAGCTCCTGAATGACCTCTTCGGTGGCAAGGACTCAAGTAGAAAATTATATCGTTTTCATCCATGCAGTGTTTGCCTCAGCTTATACATTTCTTCATTCAAAAATATTTATTGAATGCCTACTATATGCCTTGTCCTGTGCTTGACCCTGGAGATATGACAGAATAAGGCAAATGTATGCCCTCATGGGGCTTGCAATCTACAGGGGGAAGGCGGCAAAAGCAGGCCACAGTTACATGGTTATAAATAGTAGTGAGTGATATTAATGAAAAACAAGGTGCTGAGACAGAGAAACATGAGTGGAGACCTGTGAAGATGATACTCAATCTGAGACTAGCCTGAAGGCTGAAAAGGGCTTAGTCATTTCAGGAGTGGAAAAAAAGAGTATCCCAGCCTGACAAAGACAGATGTGTTTTCAGAACTGAGAGCAGCCCAGATGGATGGAGGGAAAGGGCAGGAGAGGTGTTGGGAGGGCAGGAGAGGTGTTGGGAGGGCAGGAGAGGTGTTGGGAGGACAGGAGAGGTGTTGGGATGTTGCACAACATGCAATAGAAAGCAACCAGGGGTTTTGAGAGCAGAAGCAATTTAGAAGGCAGCCGGCAGTTGCCCAGTGAAAGGTGATGGCAACTTTGATGTGCCTGGTAGTTTTTTACAGTGAATCCAAATAGTCAAACAAGGATCTGTTTACCTAGAGCAGAAGCCTCTGGAATTGTAAACTGGTAGGAATATTTAAAAGATAAATTTGATGAGCTGTAGGAGGCTAGTTGTGAACTAGCTTGAGAATAAAAATCTTCTGGGGACCAGGTTTAGAGAGAACCTATATTTTAGTGAGTTTTGCCTCAAGGAACTCCACCAGTTCCCCAAGGTGAAAGTCTGAAAAAGATTCCGTCATGGATTTGACAGGAGGAAGATTTGGATTTGACAGGAGGAAGAGAAGAGTAATCACTGTGAAACATGGCCAGGGAATTCTTCATAACAAAAGCATATTAGGGTCTTGTTCTAGCCGAGGGAAGGGAATCTTTCCCACTCCAGCCCCCTTTAGCCTTCTTGTCTTACTTACCTAAGAGGGAGAAAAAAATGCTAAGAAACACTTGTGAAGGTCACAGCCACACTTACTAAAAGACTGAGATTTAATCATAAGATTATAGAATCTTTCCCCTCCATCCATACCTTATCATCACACCAACAGGGCTTCAGTATAATAACGGTGGATTACAACTAAATATGTTGCAAGATGCAGCCTCTCTGTGTGAAAGGGTAGTTAGGGAATCTCAAAGTCCAGAGAATAGGAAAAAGAAAGAACACTGGACAAATTTGAAGCCTCTGACCCCTGCAGCTACAACAAACATTAAACACAACCCGACATCTAGCCAGATTAACATAAAACCTCATACTAAAGATTTGTTTATCCCAGTTTCTATTACCTGATACATCATGCTTGGTTTTCAATAAAAATTATGAGGCATACCAAAAGGCACAAAAAGATACAGGCTAAAGAGACAAAGCAAGCATAAGAACCAAATTCAGATATGACATGGATGTTGGAATTTTCAAATAAAGAATTTAAAATAAATACGATCAATATGTGCTCTAACAGAACAAGTAGACAACATAAAAGAACAGATGGCAAGGTAAACATAATGATGAAAACTCAGAATCAAAAAGAAATGCTATAAATAAAAAACACTGTAACAGAATTAACAAATGCCTTCAATGGGTTCATCTGTAGTTTGGAAATGGCCAAAGAATCAGTGAACTTGAAGACAGGTCAATACGAACTTCCCAAACTAAAATGGAAAGAGAAAAAAAACCCAGAACATACAAGAACTGTGGGACAATTTTCCAAGGTGCAGCATATACATAATTGTAATACATGAAGGAGAAACAGAGGGAGAGAATGGGGCAGAAAAAAATATATGAAATAATTATGGTTAAGAACTTCCTAAAATTAATGACAGACACAAAACAGTAGATCCAGACATCTCAGAGGACATTTAGAAAATTTACAGGAGACATACACCTTATAGAAGAATGACGATAACAATTACAGTGAGAGATCTATTGAACAACATGGTGACTACAGTTAATAACATCATATTGTGTTTTGAACATCGCTAAGAGGGTAGATTCTAAGTGGTTTTACCACAAAAAATGATAAGTATGTAAAATAATACATAAGTTAATTAACTTGATGGGGCCATTCCACAGGTATATATATTTCAAAACATCACACTTCACACTATAGATATATATATATATACACACACACAGACAAAATGCTTTTATGTATATATACACACACATGCACTGATGCAGTATATATATATACACACACACACACAGTACTATATAGTACTGTATATATATATACACACACAGTATATATATACACACACACACAGTACTATATAGTACTGTATATATATATACTGATACCAATATATATACTGATATAAATAGTATATATACACACACACTATTTTTATTTGTCAATTTTAAAATTTACTTAAAAACAAATTACAGTAGACTTCTCATCAGAAATCATGAGAGCAAGAAAATAGTGGAATAAAATAAACTATTGAAAAACAGAAAACACCAACCCAGAATTCTATATCCAGTAAAATTATCCTTCAGCACTAAAAGAAAAACTAAGACTGTTTTAGACACACACAAAAATGAGAAATTCATTGCCAGCCTACTTGCCCACAGGAGAGGTTAAAAGAAGTTTTTTGGGGAAAGGGAAAATAATATAGGTCATAAACTCATCTACATAAAAAAGAAAAGACTTGGAGAAGGAATAAATAATATGAAATCTTTTTTTGTCTCATTCTTGATTGATCTAAAAAGTAACTGCTCCTAAAAGAGCTTACTGCCTGTTTCATTCCAAAAAAGCCCCCTGTGACCTCCATCATGTCTCCTTTTCCTGCTTTATTTTTATTTGATTAACCATATACCATATGTGTAACTGTTCACAAGTTTAATGTTCATTTCCCTCACTAGAATGTAAGCCCCATGAGGGTAAGTACCAGCTCTGAGCCATATCCCAAGCGCTTGGCACATAGTAAATTCTCAAAAACTTATACTGGAAAAAAAAAAAAGAATGAATGAATGAATCCCTCATCTCTCCAGTGAATGCTCTTCAGTATTACAGTGTCACCCTACTCCATGTCGCCATATCACCTCTGTCTTCTTCTGCAGAGTTCCCTCTGGGTAACCACTTCACTTCTCTTTCCTCAGAGATTGGTCCACATTGCTCAGTTTATCAAAGTCACTCATTCCAGCTCTAGTCACCACAGTGGCTTGCCCCCATCAAAGGTGGCAAACAAGTTTTGTCTCAAATACCAGTGCCCCAAAATTGGTTGTGGCATCAATTTTTCAAGAAGAGTTCTAGGGCTGTGTCTTGTTCATGGAGCAATTACTGATATCTGCCATGGATGTGGGAAAGTAAACTTGCTACAAGAGGAAGAGGCATTTGTCATAGCTCAGGCACTCTGCTAAGTATAAATGTGCCTTTTCCTTCTTCTGAGAGAAGGATATTCTTTCTCCCAATATCACTCAACCACCCCCTCTCTCCTAGTAAAGGGACACATGGGTCAGCCTCTCATCATGCAACAGAAGATAACTGCAGAGTATTCAGATATAGTTCATCCTCCTCCCAGGATACCGCCTCTTCCCCATGACATCATCAGCCTTATTCAGTTGCATGTAAATCACAGAAAATCTCCAGCCCAGGACACAGATTTATATTGGAATGTTTTATTTTTAAATGTCTGGGCTAGACTACAAATTGTTTCAAACATGAGATATAATTTTAAAAACATTGGTCTGAGAGCCAGAGCATTTGGTCCTAGTGGATACATTGATTCATTGAATGAATGTCTCTAGGCATTGGTTTCCCCATCTATAGAAAAATAAAAATGATCTCCAAAGTCTTCTCCAATTTTAATAAGCCTATGAGATTCTGAGTAGTTTTTTTTAACTACACTGAGCATTTTTTTCTTTAATGAACTTCATTTAGTTATTTTTTGAAACACTATGTTACCACATGAAATTGGTATTTTGTAGGTCAAAAATGGTCAAATATAGGCCATTTCACATATTACAACTTAATATCATATGTACAAAAGGGTATATATATACACATGTTAACATATACAAAAAGAAAATAAATAGCCCCAGACCCACCCAATTTCATTATATGAGTATCCACAATGTATTTGTCCATTCTCTTATTGACAGACATAGGGGTGAAGCCCAGTCTTATGTTGTTTTTGTTTTAATATTACCAACATGCTGGGCACGGTGGCTCACGTCTGTAATCTCAGCACTTTAGGAGGCCAAGGTGGGTTCATTGCTTGAGGCCAGCCTGAGCAACATGGCAAAACCCAGTCTCTACAAAAATTACAAAAAGCTAGCCAGGTATGGTGGCATGTGCCTGTAGTCTTAGCTACTCCAGAGGTTGAGGTAGGAAGACTACTTGAGTATGGGAGGCAGAGGTTGCAGTGAGATCACACCACTGCACTCCAGCCTGGGCAACAGAGCAAGACTCCATCTCAAAAAAAAACAAAAAAGTATTACAAACAAGACTTCTGTGAACACCCTTGTATATGTCTTCTTGTGCATGTACCCTAGTTTCTCTAGGAGTGCCAAGTCATGGGGTGTGCATATCTTCAATCTTATTATAGAATACCCATTGTTTTCCAAAATGTTTATACCAATTTACACTCCTATAAGCAGTGAATACAGTTTTCTGTTGTTCCATATCCTTGCCAACACTTGCTATTACCTGAATTGTTTTTTGAATTTTTGCCTCTGTCAGGTAGAAAATGGCACTGCATTGTGGTTTTAATATGTATTTTCCTGACAAAGAATGAACTTGAGCATCTCCCCTCCCACTAAATCTTTCATCTGAATTGCTTACAAACTGTATAATTGTGGGCTGAGTTTCAGTCCCTTTCCTTTCTCCTGCCCCGTGTATTCTAACCAGCTGGTGAATAGTGACATAGCCCTGGAGGACACAGTGGGGAGCTCTTGGAGAATCCACAATGTCAATAATCTGCCTCTAAATGAATAACCAGGATTTGACCTTCAGGAATTGTACTCACACAATTCAACTGGCCATGCCCCAGTGCAATATTTCACATCGTGCTAAAACTCTGGTGAAGCAGTATTTTGCATGCAATTAAGTACTTGAATGATTCTTTCATCTAAATGATTAACTTATGTCAACCACAGCTTGCTGGAGACACAAAAGGCTTGTGCTACCTGCCTGCATTATTAGTCCAGACAACACCTTAGCTTTCTTATATGAGGCTGTTTCCAAGTCTTTCATTCTCCCCACTTCAGAACATACATTTTCTCACTGACTCTTTTTAAACATGATATTAAGATGGGAAAAGGGCTGATATTAAAATTCGAAGGGCTGTATATGTGAACCTTTTAAATCACATCATTCAAAAGCACATATTCAGGAAACCAACCCTTCACTGTGTTTATTCTTTAAGAAAAAAAGCGAAAATGTTTTCCCCTCATGCTAGAGAATTCAACAGGAATGATGATCTTTCTTAAATGAACCTATGGATAAATAATTCTGATGAATAAAATTAAGGAGAAGAGTGGGGAAAGAGTCACACAGGGAGTCAGAAACAATTGAAAAAGAAATCCAGGCTACCCCCAACCCTAGTCTTTGTTGAAGGGATCACCAGAGATCTACATAGATATTATTTTGAAATTTAGAGCTTCAACTTGTATGAACAAGAATACCCATGCTGAGTTTTTGCATGCCCCTGTGAAACAGCAAAAGAACTCGACAGACCCTATTCTTGCATTAAAGCAACACACTGTGGAAAGCCTGAAAATAAACCATCTATGCTTGATTAATTAGGTTTGTAAGTATTGTTTCAGAACCAAACAATATTTCTAAAGATTTCAATAGTTCAAAGATTGCCCTATGGCCGTCTGGCCAATACATCTTCTAACACATGCAGTTTACAAGCATTTTTCTTCCCAATATGTTGTCTTTGGTTGGTGCGACATTGTTTGAGTGCAGGGCTATTTGGGTCATAGTGGTTTTCTCCTTCGCACAGCAGTGGTGCTGAGCACAGCACTTTGACCATACATCTTCCATGTCATTTCCATCAAAGGCACATGATACTTCCTGGTGACCAATCAGGAGTGGTCCAGCATCCTAACAGAGGGCATATTGGCAAAGCAAGCTTCCTTAATGACAGCCATTGTTCAAGGCCAACAAAAGGGAGGTCCTGAATATTAACATGTGGCCTTGTGCAAAGGTCACCGGTATGGCACATCCATCATATTTCACAACCGAGAAAGAAAACGTTATAAGTTCTGTCAGAACCTACTGCTGTCCACATAAATGTATTAGGCTGACAGGTGACACCAACAAGGCAGATGATCTTGAGTGATGATATCCTCTTTCAACAAACATCCTTTCACTTCTTTGAAGCAGCAGCAGACATTACGGTGAGAGATAATGGTTAAGGAATATACCTCAAGGCCACAGGGGGTTAGAATAATCAGGCAACCCAATAGAAATATTAACTTAATAACATGTAATCATTACACCAAATGGTATCTCCTTCTAATAGGCATAATTTCCCACACTGAGAAGAGAAATCACATATTTTAACGCCTCAGAGTCTTCAAGCATCTTCTTAATAGTAAAGACCGGTAAATCCATGAAATTTCCATCAGTAAGATTTAGACTGTTGATACAGTTAGTAAAAGAGAACTTACTCAAAGGCCTGAGTTTACTGACAACGCCACATTTGGTTAAATGTTATGCAAAGCAAACTATAATGATAGAACTGAATGGAGCTAAATTATGTCACATGATTTCAATACTAAACCTAACAGCAAATAGCAAGCTTTCTTAACTGACAATTGTGCTTAGAGACGGTTCTACATTCAATATTAGAGATATGGGGTTCTGGTTATTAAATATCATCTTTTTAAAAAGTTGGACTTTATTTCTAGTTAAGAGATTTGAAAAAAAAAATCAAGGAAAAGATTAGTGAATAAGCATGTATCTCATCTGCTGCTTATGCTCACAACAATCTCCCTGTCTACTGAATGACTGCAGTTATTTCTTGCTGTATCCTCATTGGACACATTGTAACTGAATGTCTTAGGTGAGTATACCTTTTTTAAAAAAAAATAGTTGTAAGTTATTAGAGGGAAGAATATGCATCTTTATGTTTTTCTGAATCCAGCCCAGTGCCTAGCATGCCACGCTCTGTGAGTGTTCTATAGTTGTTACACAAATGCATTAATACATATAAATAACAATTCTAAGTACTTTAGAAAGTTTTTTTAAAAATTTCTGGTTGGCCTACAAAATGGGAGAAAATTTTTGCAACCTACTCATCTGACAAAGGACTAATATCCAGAATCTACAAAGAACTCAAACAAATTTACAAGAAAAAAACAAACAACCCCATCACAAAGTGGGCGAAGGACATGAACAGACACTTCTCAAAAGAAGACATTTATGCAGCCAAAAAACACATGAAAAAATGCTCATCATCACTGGCCATCAGAGAAATGCAAATCAAAACCACAATGAGATACCATCTCACGCCAGTTAGAATGGCAATCATTAAAAAGTCAGGAAACAACAGGTGCTGGAGAGGATGTGGAGAAATAGGAACACTTTTACACTGTTGGTGGGACTGTAAACTAGTTCAACCATTGTGGAAGTCAGTGTGGCGATTCCTCAGGGATCTAGAACTAGAAATACCATTTGACCCAGCCACCCCATTACTGGGTATATACCCAAAGGACTATAAATCATGCTGCTATAAAGACACATGCACACGTATGTTTATTGCGGCACTATTCACAATAGCAAAGACTTGGAACCAACCCAAATGTCCAACAATGATAGACTGGATTAAGAAAATGTGGCACATATACACCATGGAATACTATGCAGCCATAAAAAATGATGAGTTCATGTCCTTTGTAGGGACATGGATGAAATTGGAAATCATCATTCTCAGTAAACTATCGCAAGAACAAAAAACCAAACACCACATATTCTCACTCATAGGTGGGAATTGAACAATGAGATCACATGGACACAGGAAGGGGAACATCACACTCTGGGGCCTGTTGTGGGGTGGGGGAAGGGGGGAGGGATAGCATTGGGAGATATACCTAATGCTAGATGAGGAGTTAGTGGGTGCAGCACACCAGCGTGGCACATGTATACATATGTAACTAACCTGCACAATGTGCACATGTACCCTAAAACTTAAAGTATAATAATAAAAGAAAAAAAAATTTCTGGTTGGCAATGCATTATTAAACTTATATAGTAATTATGTTTTATTCTGTCTTCTCAGATGTGCACGCGCGTGCGTGCGCGCGCGCGCGCACACACACACACACACACACACACGCACACGCACACAACTTTCTTTAAGCCAATGATCCTACTACTCTAAGTAGTTTAAATGAGAACTTCCTTACTCTAGAGTCTTCCCTTCTCTGGCTGCAATGGGAAAATCACCCAAGGTGATACCCTACCCCCATCCACAGTTGATTGGTCAAGGTTTGTGCAACTTGCACTCATACTTGGACAATTAGACTCCTTTGATGGATTTTTTTTTTCTTAGGACTTAACAGACCACATCTCAGTACCTTTCTGGGGCAGATGCTGGCAGCTATTGGAGACCATGTTTTCATATTTCACTGTTTTCACTGCAGAGGCTACAGTGAGCAAAAGAAGATGACATGCAGGAAGAATGAGAGGCACAGATGGAGGTCTCAGGACTGCTGAAGATCCTGGCTCAGAGCCTCCCTGAGGCCAACCTCACCCCAAATTCCATGTGCTTTGGATATATGAGCCACTTCCCTTTTTGGCCAGCGTACTTCAGATAGATCTCGGTAATGTCTTATCGAAATAACTTTAATAAATTAGTTGCTGTTATTGTATTTCATTAACTAAAACTGCATTTTTTAAAAACGTTTAAACTGGTCTCACCACCACAAATGTCCAAATTCGTAAGAGTGCATTAGGTTAATCTGTTATTTCTCTTAAAAAAATGGGATGCTTATGAAAAAGATACTTTGATAAGTTGTGAAGACTTGTTTTATCCTCATAAATATGGCCAAACTTATTACCATCTCTTAGTGAATTCAAAAAACAAAAGTAACAATGACAATGCCCCAGGTAACAATAATGCATGATTGCATATTTCCTACTGGTTATAAAATACTGCTCAGTTCCATTCTATTTGTTCCATTCTGCAGATGATGAAGAAATAGGCTTATAGAAATTAAGGCTGCCCAACTTTTCATTGGTAGAAGCAATCTTCTACACTGGGCTATAAAGTACCTAGAACCATGTCTAGTGCCCTGTAGATGCATATACATATATGTATATATATTTCCATTAGTTTTCCTCCAACTCTTTTTTTACCTCCAAATTCTGGCCTTTTCCTGCTGTATGACTCCTAAATGCTATCAGGGCAACTCCTGAAGCGGATTTCTACAGCCTCCCTTTCTGACTTACGGCAACCCATGATCCTCTCTGCCTCTGTTTCCCATCAGAAAGAAAGACAGAAATAGTTATTATGTTCATCCAACAAAAAGGAAATTAATGGTTGATTAGATGCCTGTTCAACACAGTGAGGATGAAAACCAGTCTTCATGGTGAATTATTGAATTAAGGGGCCAACTTACAGTGTAGCTATGTCTACACAAAGCCAAACATACAGTCAATTCATCCAAAAAAAATACAGTTTAGCAACAGGAAAAATGAAATTAGCAGATCAAGACTGTGCAGACAAAATAAAATGAAGAAGTGAATGTCAACACAATAGCACAGTTATAGTCCTGGCAGAGTTTACAAACTTAAAGAAAGGAGTAAGAATGAGACTTCTGATGCTCACTATCAGAAAAGTAGATGTTCTCTCGAATATGTAAAAGTAGATTCATTACATTTGTGTGAGAGTATATGTTTCTCTCTTTCTTCTGATATTTCTATTTTTGGAATTCAAATTTAAAATGAAAATAAGAAAAAAGAAAGCTAGTATCCAAAGAACTGAGTTACACCCCAGCCCAAGATATTAAAAAGAAATACTCCCTTTGGTAAGCCTGGCATATAACATATTATAATGCAGTCATTCAACATGACTTAGTATCATATTGGATGAATAAATTTTATCTTATTTTCTACAGGGCACAAAGTATATTGAGATGTATTTTATCTATAGAGAGTTCTATATAATGAAATTCATTTGGTGTTCACACTGATTTTCCCACATCCTCTTTAACACTATGGCAAAAAAATCAGAAAATTTTCTTTAAAATGTGTAACTTCTTTACTCTTTAGGTAGCAGTTGTTGATTAGCATTGAAGTGTGTATGTGTCAACTGCACTTTTAGGAGATGTCATTTTAATGTCCTGTATCATTTTTAGATTTATGTTTTAATCATAAGCACTTACAATATTATTATGTTGTAACATTTAGAGCCTATAAACTCTAAATAGGCTCTAAAACTGCAGTAAGTTTTGTAACTACTGATTCAGTAGAGTAGAAGAAGAGATAATAACTTATGAGTAATTTATCACTCTATTAATAATAAAATACAATTAATTAAAATTACAGATATTAATTAATAACTTATTAAGTCTCCGACTCACCCAAAAAAATTAGTCCCAAGAGTTAGACAAAGGAAGCATTCTTGAAAACAAATTGGAAAGTATAGTTTTGTGAACTGAGTCCTGAACCCCAGGAATGAATGCTTGCAGCTGCAACATGAACTGTTTTCTGTTACCTTAAATACTACTGGGCCATATGGAGTATTTTTGAGGACCTGCTATTTTAAAATGTTCTGTTCATATTTTATGCGATTCCATATGTCTCATCCTTACTTCAGAGTTTCTATTCATTTCCATAAAAATAAGATCTTTGTTTTACAAGTGCTCATTTTTCCCTGTCCCCTCATCCCTATTATGGCCACAAATCTCCATTTCGGTTCTTACAGCCACTCTAGGACCAGGTGATTATGGCAAGACTAATACAGAATTATTTGGAAGAAAAAACTGCAGTGGCAGATGATCCATGGGGCTGCAGAGCTCCTGTTTCCCTTGCTCATTCCAATGACCTAACATGGAGGATAATAAACCTGACATTGGTGTTGAACTATTTCAAAATGAATCAAATATTTGCAGAAATTATTGGTGAAACCCTGAAGGAGGTACTGAAGGAAGATATAATTTGGTTAACCGAAAATTAACAAAAATGTGCTTTCTGTAAAAGGGAGCTCCTGATAGTTGGGGTTGACTTCGAGCAATTATCCAAACAAAACAGTTGGCGCCTGTGTTGGCAACTAAGTAGTGTTTGCATAAAGTAGAGAGAGAAGACAAATATGCATGAAAATTAAATTTAGGCCTCTGGGACCACCCTTTTGGGGACATAGAAGAACTGATTACATGTTCACAGCTGGAACTGGTGTTGGCAGGCAGGCCTTATTCATGGGCAGAGAGAAGGACTCTCTTTTTGAACGACGTTCTTGTGGCAAAGCAAGAATGGCAGCACTGAAAGCATCTGATGCTTACAGACCTTAGGCTCTGCGGCCCCACACTGCTCCGATCTGGCATCCAGTCACAGTTATCTCTACCAATAAATAATTATGTGGCTCAAAGTGCATGTGCCTGCCCAACTACAGGTTCTCTCTCACATCATCAGCCTCCCAGACTGCTTTTGGCCACTTTACCATTTAGAAGGTAGCAAGTACGGCTAAGCAAACAGCCAGTATTCTCGATGACAAGAAGGCTGAGTCTTGCCATACTAAGGTTGAAGGTCATGACATCATGCTGAAGCTGCCTTGGGACAAAGTTCTTTGGGTCCTTTAATAAACATAAGTGTGTGCTTTAGCAAGCATTTGTCAACAGTTCTCTCAGCATGGTTGTCTTGGCATCTGTGGTGGTGGTTTGCAATATTGGCCCCAATTCTTCACCCTTCCTTTGCACTGTGACATTGCCCCATATTAAGATAGAGCTTGTTTTCCTCCTCCTTAATCTGGGCTGGATTTGTGGCTTGTTTTACCCAACAGAACGTGGCAGAAATGATATGGAGGGCTTCCTATGACAACTTAAAGCATGGAGAATGAGCATGCTTCCTGTGACAACTTAAAGCATGGAGAATGAGCATCAGAGAATGAGCGATTCTCTGATGAATTGGAGAAAAATGAACAATAGCATCCTAAGACAAGAAAGAGTACATTGTGCTCAATAATAATATTTATTGGACACTCATGATGTGCCAGGAATAGTTCAAACTATTTTACTTGTATTAACTAATTTAATTTCCTCACAACAATTTGATGAGGTTATCATTACCCTCCATTTTTTCAAATAAAGAAAACAAGGCCCATGGTGGTTAAGAATCTTGGCTAATGTCTTACTAATTGACAGAGTCAGGATTCAGACACAAGGTGATTGGGCTTCAGAACCAATATTCTTTCACCATTATATTATGGGGCTCTTGAAAGAATTGAAAGAAGCTCAGCAGAACAAGATAGGCTTGTCAAAGATAAAAGCCAGGACTTCTGCAATAACCTCACAACCAAGGTCCAGCGGCCACTCATAGACTCTTCAGTCTATTCTCCATAGAGCCACCAGGGGGATCCTTTTAAAAGCTAAATCAGATCCTGTTGCTTCCTTGCTCAAGGCCTTCCAATGGCTTCCCATTACACTTACAGAAAAATTAAGATTTATTTTTATGGTCACAAGGCCCTACATGATCTAGCCCCTTCCTACCGCTCTACTTACATACCTTACCACCCTCTGCCTTTTGCACTCCACTCCAGCCACAGTGGCGTTCTTCCTGCTTCTTGACTGCTCCAAGCTTGTTCCTACCCAGGTTCCATGCTTTTGCTGTTCCCTCTGCTTAGAATGCTACTTTCCCAGACATTGACATTGGCTCAATCTTCTTGTCTCCTTCAAGCTGCACAAAACTTATGTCCTCAGAGAGGCCTTCTTTGGTCACCTTTTCTAAAATGACACCTCTGAACTGCACTGCTCTTTCCTTACCCTGTTCCTGATTTACTTTTATTCATAAGACTTAGCACTGCCTAAAATTATATTTGTTTGTTTACTTGTTTACTGTCTGGCTACTGCACTAGAATGTACGCTCCATAAGGCAAGGTCTTTGGCATTTTTGTTTACTGCCTAGACCAGTGTCCAGCATATTAAAAGCACTCAATACATATTGCTAGAAATTGCTTTATTTTAAGAGTTTCAAAATTTGGAACATTAATCAATAACAGAATGCCCAAAGTAGGATATGTAGGAGTATAAGAAATAGTTACATTCCTGGCAGGGAGGGGACGAGGTAGGGGCACAGCAGTTGGAAGCTGGAGATCCCAGGTTCCTGGAATACTCGGGCTGGGACCTTCCGGTTTCTCCTGTCTGCTCCCTACCCCTGTGCCTCGAGTTTCTCCCTAAAGAAGTGGTTTTCAAGCTTCAGTGAACGAGAGTACAGCTTTTGTGTCAGGACCTCTTGGGTAAGAAGCCCCAAGCATGATTCCAATACAGGTATTCTGGGCATAGGGTTGCCAAATTTAACAAATAAAACTATATAGGAAACCAAGTTAAACCTGAATTTCAGAAAAGCCATGAATATATTGCATGTGACATACTGATACAAAAAAAATCTAAATAATAGACTGATTTATATCTGAAAATGCTGTCTGTGGACCACACTTGGAGAAAAAGTGTATAAAAGTAAGAAGTGATATTCAGTCTGGAGAAAGTAAGGTTGGTTGAGGAAAGGCAATGATTTATAGTGACATACAAATATGGAAAGAAAAAGAACCTCTAGTCTCTGTTGCTCTAGAGGACAGAATTAAGACCAGGTGTTGAAGTCACCAGATAAAACATTTTGATTCTCTGGAGAAAGATAATATTTACCATACATACAGGTAGGATGTGGTGGAATGGATTACCTCTCACAGCATCTATCTCTAGGAGTATGCAAGCCATATTGTTAAAATAATTGAATGAATGTTGAAGAAAGGAGTCTGTTCTGGTAGAGAATGGAAATGTCAATTCCAAAGACATTTTCAACACTAGAAATTCAGTATCTGGGAAAGAGTAAGAACAGACCTCCTCTGTATTAAACAGGACTCCATTCATTGCAAGTAACCAGAATCCAACTCAAATGGGCTTGAGCAAAAAATTGAGTTTGTTATTTTGCACTGAAAATTCCAGGAAGATCTTGACTCAGAAATGGCTGAATTCAAGTGTGTAGAAGTGATATCATTAGGATTGACTCCATCTCTCAGCACTATTTTTTTCAGGTTGGCCTAATTCTCAAGCAGCCTCCTTCTTCATGGTGATAAATGGTCACCAGTATTTTAGGTCAACATCATAACATGTTAGCAATCTCATCAAGGGAAAAATATCCCTCCTTTTCAATAGTTCCAGCAAAAATGCAAAGATAACATCTTATGGCCTGCCTTCAGATATCGACCCCTGAACCAATATCACAATGCAGGGAGAACTAAATGCTCTAATAGGACTCATTCAAGTTATGTGCTGATTTCATTGCTGGAAATTAGGAGTAGGCTTAGCCCCACCCAAGTTATAGGAACTGAGAGTCGGGAGGAGGGAGATGTTACTTGAAAAAAAAAATGAAATATTAGTTGCTGAGCAGATAAAAGTAACAAACTATCCTATATCCAAATTCAATCTATGTCAGCTATATTAAATAGTATCATATAGGAAAACAAGATTTTATTAAAGTCATCCTCATCCAGTACGTCCTTCACCATTTCTTCAGCAAATTCCTCTTTCACAATAGGAAGATGCATCTCTTCTCCTCCCCCAAAACTCAATCCTTTCCACAAAGTTCAGTTCCATTGAGTGAAAGCATTTATTGAACAGAAAACATTTTTATTCTCTAGAAAGATAAACTTTCCAGTAAATACCAGTGGGCCATAGTGAAATGAATGACCTCTCAGAGCAGTAGGTTTCCATCTCCAGGAGTATGCAAGCCATGTTATTGAAAGAAAGCTGAGGAAGGGAGTCTGTCTGGGTGAAAGTGAAAATGGCCTAATTCCAACAGTGGGAGTTCAGTACCTTGCAAGGAGTGAGAGATGTGCCTCCTCTGTATTCTTGAACATTTCTGAATTTAAAATAATGATTGAGCCCTTACTCTATTCCAGGTACTATTTCAAATACTGGGAATATGAAGATAACTAAAGCACAGTTCCTGCCCTTCAGAATATCCTGATCTGGTGAGGGTGAAAATAAATTCAGAGGAGATGGTGACATGCAGTGATAAGCGCAGGGATGCAGGCATGCATTTAGAGCTATGGCAGGGACGCAGGCATGCATTCAGAGCTATGGCAGGGACGCAGGCATGCATTCAGAGCTATGGCAGGGACGCAGGCATGCATTCAGAGCTATGGCAGTATGAGGAGGTGGCACATAACCCATCAGGGACACAGAGAAGGCTCTCATTTTATCCTTTTCATCATGCAGGGGCCATATGTTTCTATGAAAGTATTTTTAACATCTCCCAGCATGTCACCTTATAGTTTCAATGGTTACTAAGAAAGTCCAATGAGAACACATGGACACAGGGAGGGGAACATCACACACAAGGTCCTGTCGGTGGGTGGAGAGCAAGGAGAGGGAGAGCATTGGGACAAATACCTAATGCATGTGGGGCTTAAAACCTAGACAACAGATTGATAGGTGCAGCAAACCCCCCTGGCATGTGTATACCTATGTAACAAATCTGCACCTTCTTCACATGCATCCCAGAACTTAAAGTAAAATAAAAATTAAAATTAAAAAAAGAATTAAAAATCTCACTTGTGTGTTAAGAATATGGACTCGGGCCTGCTTAAAAAAAAAAAAAGGCCCAAAGAGACTCAACTAAATGATGCCACTGCTCTTTACAAAACACAAAGGCTTTTAGTTTCTAATGATAGAAGCCTACATATTCATTGTACAAAATTTGGCAAAGAAAAGACAAGGAAAAGGGGGGAAAAGTACATAGCCACTATAAGCATTTTTGTGCTGTTTTTATTCCAGCTTTCCCCCTTTCTATTGCTACAAATAGACAAATATTAATAGAAAATTGTGATAAATATATATTAATATTATATACATAAATTGTATGACACATATGTATATCCACTGACATATCTGTATTATAACTATAATAATACAGATAATTTAGTATTCTATTTTTCACATCATTAGACATTTCCCATGCCAATACATATTCTTTGAAGATTTTTGGAGAGAGAAAAATGTTGTGGGACCTCCTTTGCTCATTTACTCCTTCAATTATAGAAATATATGAAGTATTACATGAAGTATAATTAGCAAATAACCCTCACATAATTTTATAATATCTTTCTTCACATTCAGACCGACAGCAAGCATTATTTATTATTTTTATAGTGTTTAATTGGGATTATATCAGTTACTTTTAATAATCTATTTAAAAGAATTTAATAAGCCTACCCAATTCCAGATGAACCTGTGTACAAAGGATGTGGCTCTTGGTTTTAGAGACTGTATCTGTGTTAAATGCCACTAATAATTGTCATATTGTTTTATCTTATTTTGCAAATTTAAGAATGAGGAGGGAGTTCCATTGGAGGTACGGGAATTACTCCCAGCGGTACATACGGAATTCTAACAGGATTAGTCTCATTAGTCTCAATAAATCCCTCAGTGTTAAATTCTGGATAATCTGTAACCATTAGCTATAACCTGAAGTGGTTGGCTACTTGGGTTCAGAACATACAGGCAGTATATGGGACTGAATTTGTTTCAGATAGTCGGCCATGAAAAGCATGACTCTATGTGAAAGGACAAAGGCCATTTGTCCGCTATCACAACTCTTCTTAAATCTTTATCTCTTGCTTTCCAGGAGTATTATTTTTTGGTGGCCCTCTCTGTTCTAACTCCCCACAGAGCTTTACTTTTCACAACCTATATAATCTTGAATTATAGTTCTCTATGTTCTTACCTGGATTCTCTTGTTTGCAAGGACTATCTATATTTACCACAGCCTATGAATTCCTTAGGGAAAGAGAATATGACTAATATATCCCACCAACAGCTTCAAACACAGTTCTAACACACAGCAAATACCTGATAAGGCAAATGAAATTGAAGTCCGCTACTGAATAAATATTTATCTTACAAAAGTACAGAAAGTAGCCAAAGATAATCAGGGAGCCTAGAATGATATTTAAGACTCATAACTGCTAATACATGGCTTTTTCTTAATAAAATAAACCAATTCTCTAAATAAAAGATATACAGATGCTCTTTGACTTATTATGAGGTATGTGCCAATAAACCCAGCATAAGTTGAAAATATCCTGTCAAACTGCATTTAATATATCTAACTTACTGAACATCATAGGTTAGCCTAGACTACCTTAAATGTGCTCAGAACACTTCCATTAGCCTACAGTTGGGCAATATCACCTAACACAAAGCCTATTCTATAACAAAGTGTTGAATAGCTCATGAAATTTACTGAATATTGTATATTATGTCAATATTGCCATGATTTCACACCACCATAAAGTCAAAAAATTGTAAATCCAGCCATCAGTAAAGTCGAGAACCATCTATAGTATTTCATGATTAACCCTGATCCAATCATCAGCTACTTCAACTGCAAGGAATTATTCATTCATTTCTTCATTCCTTCATCAAATGTTTGAGTAACTGTTTTGTGGCAGAGACTGTGCAAGGTTCTGCTCTTGTTGACTTTACAGTCTGGTGAAAGGACATTAATTCCCACACACTGTCAAGAAGTAAAGGTAAGGCAAGTCCAGGGAGCTGAAGGGGAACAGAGGAGGAACATGTGGTCCCAGTTTACTCATGTAGAGGGTTGACAAGAATTACAATGCAGAGGTAACTGTGTCTTGAAGGACTGCAGGGTGTAGAGACAATGCAAAATTGAACAAAACAACTCTGAGACCACGCAGCGCGGCAGCCGGACACAGGACACCTCTCAGGAGGCTGGGCATTGGCAAGGTTGTCAGCAGCCTAGATACATGGAATTAAATAGATAAGGAGGGTATCTATAGTCATTGCCCACAAGGGGGAAGACACAGGATAGCAGTATAGGCAGGAAGCATGAACTCCTATGGAGAATTAGAACAAGGAAGAGTTGGTTCTATGCAATAGTGAGAACAGGGGAAAATGTACAGCAATGGAACTGGGCTCTGGAGAATGGGGAGGACCTTGATTAATAGAAATTAGGAGAAGGGAATTCTAGGAAATATATAGAAGCAGAAATTAAGAGCATGACAATGAAAGTGGTTTGAGCAAAGGGAAGTATAAAGAAAAGAGGTGTAGAAAGAGAATGAAAAGGCAAAATGAAACCATGCTCACAATGGGGAGTGACTGTTCACTGAGGACCTAAGTGCAGGGATCTGGACTTAGCACTTGACACACACTAGCATGCTTAACATTCACCATCATTCCATTTCACGCGTAATGAAACTGAAGCTTTCTTTTAAAGTAACTTGCTCCAAGTTCATAAAGTAAGTGGTATCCTGTCCAGCACACTCACCATGTAAATTGATTCCCAAAGGCATAAGTCAGGGTGGTACAATTGGGTGTTTGAGCCAATTTCTTAGACAGTGAAGTGCAGACTAGATTGGGGATATGAAATGGGAGACTGAGAACAGCACAGAGATGCAGCTGACACACCCATTTTAAAAGTCCTCAACAAACCAGCTGTAATAGCCACCCGAGTCTTAGTGCTGTGACCATGTTTGATTTTCTTTAATAGCACTCATCCTTACCTGAAAATATTTTGGTTATGAGCTTGTCTATCTCCAGATCAATAGGAGCTTCTTAAAGGAAAGATTGTGTCTAGATTGTCTGCCAATGTATCCTCAGTAATGCCTGTCCCAGGCTACGTACTGGGTAGAATTGTGTCCCCACAAAAGATATGTAAAGGTCCCAACTGCTGGTACCTGTGAATGTGACCTTATTTGGAAATAGGTTCCTTACAGATGTAATTAAGATGTAAGTAATCTATAGCCCATGGACCAAATCCAGTCCACCAATGTCCTGCAAATCCTAAAATATTTACTATCTTGACCTTTACAGAAAAAGTTTGCTGACCCTGGATTAGCAGGTCTGCCCCTCTGTTTTGAGAATCAAACGAACATTTAGGAAGCCACTTTAAACTGTGTAACACATAAGTCGAAGGCTTAGCAGACAAAGAGAAGAATTTCAGATAGTAAGCAATGAAGATGAAAAATGCCGATTATGCTTGTCCCATCAGGCCTTTAAAAAAAATGGCACAAATTTAAGAAGAGAGTGATGGACATTCGCCTAATAACAGTCTGAGCAGGTTCTACATCTCATTACCACAACCTCTAATGTTGCCACATTTCTCCTTCAGAAAGAGGCAGTATAATAGAGTGATTGAGATGATGAACTTTGAAATCAGACAGACCTAGTTTTGAATTGCTTCTCCATTCCTTATTGGCTATCTGACTTTGAGCAAGTTAGTTACTCTCTCTGGGTCTCAATGTCCACATGTGTGGTTGTGATGGTTACATGAGATCATATGTATAAAGTTTTTATAGAGTATTTGTTACATAGTAAATGCTCAATAAATGTCAGTCATTATTGCCATTGTCAGAAACTAGAATTTTACCTGACTTTAATTCACATAACAAGGAACTACAAAGCTCACTCTTTAGAAAAACACAGCTTTAATTTTCCAAATAGTTAAATTATATTAGACTTACTGAAAGTTAAAAATCAATTTCAGAAGCAAGGAAGAAACAAAGAAGAATAAAACCATTTTTTTCCATTTATAGCTATAGCAGATAAACTGTGCCCTGGCTCTAAAAACTCAGAACATCACATCCAAGATGAGTTGAAAAATTATCAGGGTCCTCTTTCAATATTATCTGGTTGTACTAGAACCAAATTTTCAGAGATAGAATTTCAAAATGTAAAAAGATAAAAAAAAAAATTTGGCCTGTAATTCTTCAATCAAGCCACTTTGCTTTCAAAAGCACACAAAATGTGAGTCACTGTCATAAGTATCCAGGACACTCATTTCTCTTTGTGGGGAGTTAGCTTTGGAAATCAATCTCCAGAATTAAGACCATGAACAATGCCTCATATTTACTACAAGAACCAGAGTTATAACAGCAGCATAAGTGCCTGCCTGGGGCTATGACTTCAGTGCCCTAACTTCAAGCGCTGCTTCTTAATTAAAATTTAAGTCACTGAGTGTGAACAATTTTAGCTTAATCTGTACTTTTATGCATATGAATGCTGAGTTAATTTCTAATTGGCAACTTTCACCTCCTTTTTCCATATTGTTTCTTTTGGGACAATGTAAAATCCGAAAAGCATCCAAGTTGTGCCTGTACAATGTTCATATTACTTCCAACTTTGCTGCATCAGAACCTCTGAAGAACAAAAAAATTATAATAACCCACACAAACTCATTTCAGGAGATTGGCGTATCCTGAGTTTAAACCAGCTCTTATCTTAACTTGCCTATGTGAGATTTACAAACAGGAAGAGAACAAATAAGGAGTAATTTAAATTTTAATTTAAAAACCCCTCTATTTTCTTATCCCTTATCAAACTGCCAGCATTTTTCCTACTGACAATGAGTAAGTGTCATTGGCATAGACCAGACCCTACCCAAAACCAAGGAATCTCTTTCATCTAAAACCCTGATCCCTTTAATAAACAAAATACGAAAAGGCAGTCAAAATTACGCTGTGGCTTTATAAAAGAAGGCAGGGAAATCCTCTGAGTACAATTCCCCACTTGTTATTTTCACATACCATGTGACTCCAAGTCATTCTGAAGGATAAAGAGACAGGGCTGCCACTAGATCCCAGCCACGATTTCCCCTGCGTTCCCAGCCCCAGCCCATCTGTTCTCCAGAGGCCACGTGAATGGCATATGTCAAGAGAGTCAGAGCTGTGCAAACTGCCCAAAGAAATCGCTCGGCCAACTTCCCTTTGCTTCCACGGCTTCAGCAATTGTTGCTGCGCCAACCACCATATGGCGAATAATTAGTTTTTCGACCCCACTCAAGAAAAATGTCCGCTTCATTGCCAAGCGTTAGCAATATGTGTGTTAATGAACAGTGGGAGTTGAATGCCTATACATTAACAAAAGTTCTACATTTTTTTTTCTTTTCCAGCTTCAAGCTCTGTCCTCTCCTTTGCTTTGCCCCCTTTCAAGTAGGTGACAGTCTGGAGTCCACAGCATTTAGGAATAAACTGTATGTTTCATTGCTTTGTTTTTATTTTTATTTCTGTGTTTTATGAGAGGCTGGAATCCAATGGGAGATGCCCAGTTTTAACAGCCAAATGTCTTTCTTTTAACAAAACATCTTTAATCTTCTTTTGCTCAAAATGATGCATTCAGTCCATATAAAGATTGGGACATCAGAGTTGAACAACAGAGTGCTTTCTGCCATTGATGCATAAGAGGAGAGTATAAATTATAGTATTAACATTAGAGCCTGTGCTCAAGCAGGATGCACCCTTTTGGCCTCTTTAAATAAACACTTACCTCCACACTCCAATGGAAAATATGTAGGATGCTTTTAGCATAAAGATTTAAGAACCCAGTTAAAGCTTCAAGTTCACTATCCCAAGAATAGAAGCCTTAATAGGCAGATAATTGCTCTCAAGAGGGAAAGATTTTTGTGTGGTCAGAAATAAACATTTATTTAACATATATGGTGCAAGATAAAAATACCTAAGTTTGCATCTATTTTTGCGTTTTCTGGAATCAGGCAACACTGATTTCTCCCACTTAAGCTTGAAGCTAACTGCTTTTTGACCTTGGCCTTCACATTCTCTGCCTGCAGACATACAAACCCTGAGAAAAAGAGACAGGCAATTGAAATGTTCCCTAATGCAATTCTCAAAGAATCTTGCTATAGTTCAGTGGTTCTCAAATATCTTCAGTTTGCAGACCATCCTACCATGGCAGAAGTCCCCAAAGATCCTCCCTCCTATTTGTGGCTGAAAAAGAAATGTTTCGCCAGAATAAATGAGCAGAGGGGTGCTGATTTAATGAGACAGCCAAGAAGAATCTCACAAGCAAAATGCGAATTAGCTCCAGACACAATGACAACTGTTATTTTCTTTTTATATTTGACTCAATTAGAATAATATCTGCATGGCCCTCTAGACTATAAACGCCCTGAGGATACAATTGCTTCTGTTTTGCTCACAGTGTGTCCTCAGCAGCTAGAGCTCAGTACCCAATTGGATGTTGGGAATACAATGCACAAACTTTCAGCAAGTATTTGTTGAATAAATACTTTACTCTAAACAATCTTGAATATTATATGAGACTACCCTAGGAAACACTGGCATTTTGTAGGTCACAGTTGGAGAACCTTTGCCAGTGGGCATTGTAAGGTGATATTGAACATAGCGCCTAGTGGCATCTTTAATTTCATCTAATTAGTATTGTTGCTATCACTGGCCTATATTTATAGTCTTTATGTCTTTCTGTGCCAGAATCTTAATTTCAGAAGATATAGGCTTCATTTTTCATCAGAAAGGCAGCTGATCTGGTGTTTTCCACACACTTTTAGTCAGAAAACTGAGGGGCAATGGCATAATTTAGAAATCATACATCCTGAGATTCACTCCAAGCTTCACCACTGACTAGCTCTCTCTTCATCCCTCTAAGCCTCAGTTTTCTCATGTATTTACAAAGAGTGAGGAGAGAGGAAAAAATAATTCCTATTTTGCAGCATTTTGTGAGTTAGAAAGTAAGTTGGCCTGACACATAGTAGATCTCCTATAGAATGTGGCTATTTTTGAGTGTCAATAAATGAATATATCCTAAAAGCATCAAATATATGTAATCCTGGGGACCATAAAAGCTTTACATTTTAAGGAACTGTTAATAAACACTGACCAAGAACATAAAAGGAGTTGATTAGGGATTGACCGTCTTAATTTGAGCAAAGTCTTTTTTTTATACGCATCAACTCATCAAACACTAAAAATGCATCGCTGGGAAAAATAGGCAGCTTGAAGTGGCTCCCTTTATGGCCCAAACAATGCATTAGAAATGAGTTTCCTTTTGCTCCCCACCCTGAGAAGCATAACAATAACTTGGTTGAACAAAGGGTTCTCAAGGTTCTAGCACCCCACCTTCATCCAGTTGGTGGGTGTCAAACCCAGTTTTAGGTACAACCCTTGAAGGAAGAAGGCTGGGCTGGGGTGAAGTGGCTTCACCAAGGAAACTGCACTTAAGGGAAATACTTCTGCTGCCTAACCAAAAAATGTCATTCTGCAATGTTATGGTTAAATTGTGCTGCATTTGGTTGAAGCAGAGGTGCTGTTCTGAGTGGTCTATGATCAAAAATTAGTCAAGAAGAAGCCAGAATAAAAGTCAACTGTAAACTAGAAAGTAAATGCCTGCAAACATAGTCTGTCTCATGTGCTATCTGCCCCTTTGTGCACAGCTGAAAAGTTTGCTCCTATCTGGTGGCTTATAAGTCCCACTGGAGTTCTGGGGACAAGAGTCTGAGACTGTGAAGAAGAACAGACAGAAAACCTGTGGGGCAAGGTTTTTTTGTTTGTTTGTTTGTTTGTTTTTGATGGAATCTCACTCTGTTGCCAGGCTGGAGTGCACTGGCGCAATCTTGGCTCACTGCAATCTCTGCCTCCCAGGTTCAAGGGAATCCCCTGCCTCAGCCTCCCAAGTAGCTAGGACTACAGGCGCACGCCACCCTGTCTGGCTAATTTTTATTTGTATTTTAGTAGAGACGGGGTTTCACAATGTTGGCCAGGATGGTCTCAATCTCCTGATCTCGTGATCTGCCAGCCTTGGCCTCCCAAAGTGCTGGGATTACAGGTGTGAGCCACCATGCCCGGCCAAGGGGTTTTAATATTTGACATGGACCATATCCCTCTAGGTGGGTATCCTTTAATAAGCCACACACATCCTTGTATGGTAGCCACGCAAACCTTCTCTATTCTCCTCAGAACAAAACCTCATTCCCAGCCCAATACTTACACCACTAAGAAGAGCAAGCCATCCAGTATGAACCCCTTCACAACTCTCTACTCTCTGTCTCCACTTACCCACTTTTTTTTTCTGTGCTCTTTTATTTGCCAAGATTCAATCAAGTCTCTACCTGACCTCATTTCATCCCTTGATACTTCTCCCAAGACCACGTTATATTAATTGTCCATGTTTCTACAGGATATTTTGAACTCTTCTTTTATCTTTATAAATGACTACACCCTTTTAGTTCTATTTAGTTGCAGTCTTATCTTCTGCTTTCCCTTTACCACCAAATTTTGGGAAATAGGTTTCCAATATAGCAGCCACTAGCCGGAGGTAGCTACTAAACAGTTGAGTATGGCCAGTGTAACTGAGGAACTGAATTTTACATTTTACTTATTTTAGAAAATTTACATTTAAATTGCTCCATATCATATGCAGTGGTACAGCCATAAAGTTCTATCTCTTTTGTGCACCACCTCTCTCAAAGCTTTGCTTACCTCCTCTGTACAAAGAAGGACCACAGCTCTCTAACAGAACTAAGAAACAGACTCATGTTTTCAATTTTCCTCTGAAGTTCCACACCAGCTCTCTCAACAACACCTGAAACTCAACATTTCAGATTTTGCATTTTCCTGCTGTGCTTATGCACTTGAAACTGATGTCATCCTGGGAAAGCTTGGAGCAGTGTCTGGCTCTGGTACAGCAAGCGCTTCTAAGAAGGCCTGAAGAAGTGTTTTCCCGGCCACTTGCAATTCTTGCAGTGCATTTAATCTTTACAATTATCTTCTGCCAGATTATATATCTTTGTAGAGCCCCTCCACAAGATAAGAGCCTCCTAAAGTGTTTTTATTTTTTCCCAACATATTCGCCCTTTTTTTTAGAGCATAGATTTATTCTATTGCCTACAGTTCCTGGGTCCCTGGCACTTGTTAAATAAGAGAGATGCTCTATGGATTCTCTGGCTGATTCCCAGGGTCACAAAAACTATTGATGTGTGCATTTGCAGAAAGGGGTGGGATGTAGTCCAGCAGGAGTGGGAACAGGAAAGAAGGAGGAAGAGAGGAGCCATTTTGACTGATTTCAGCACTTTATCAAATCAGGAGCTGAATTCACTTCTGTTATGACACAGACACCTAGCCACAAGGCACAAGCATATCTTGATCTTCTCCTAAAGATACACTAAAAAGTACATTTTTATAAAAAAGCAGCCTGGAATATTCATTCACATTAACATAAATAATTGCTCATGTTTCATCATTTTACTGATTTTTAAACTACAAATAAATTAGATTTAGAATCCTTTCCTTTTCTTAACCTTCACAATAAAAACAATTCAAGACATAAATATTATTTGCATTTGGGCTCTCAAAGGCAGGATGACATATTAAGAAACATATATTATTAGCTAAGTTCAAATACACTTTTTAAAATCTTTTAAGTTCAGGGGTACGAGTACAGATTTGTTATGTAAGTAAACTTGCGTCATGGAGATGTGTTGTACAGGTTATTTCATCACCCAGGTATTAAGCCTAGTACCCATTAGTTATTTCTCCCCATCGTCTCCCTCCTTCTACCCTCCACCCTCTGAAAGGCCCCAGTATATGTTGTTCCCTTCTATGTGTCCATGTATTCTCATCATTTAACTACTACTTGTGAGACCTTGTGATATTTGGTTTTCTGTTTCTGTGTTAGTTTGCTAAAGATAATGGCCTCTATCCATCCATGTCCATAAAAAAGTGGACAAAGGACATGAACAGATACTTTTTAAAATAAGATATACATATGGCCAACAATCATATGAAGAAAAGCTCAACATCACTGATCATTAGAGAAATGCAAATCAAAAGCACAATAAGATACTATCTCACACCAGTGAGAATGGCTATTATTAAAAAGTCAAAAAATAACAGATGCTGGTGAAATTGTGGAGAAAAAGGAACACTTATACACTGTTGGTGGGAGTGAAAATCAAATACACTTTTGTTATATTTCATTTAGGTGCTATGGATACTCTAACAAGATCATAGCATTTTGGAACTTCAAGTTATATTCAGAAGTTCATCTGTACTCAAATAATTCACTTGGAATTTAAATAAAAGAAACTACTGTCAAATTAGAAAATACTTAGCAAAGTTCCTGAGAAAGAATAAAAGACTTCTTAACAGCTGCTACAAAAAAAATTAGCGTGTCAGTCTAAAAGCACAGTGAACCCAGAAAGATGGGAGAAAACAAGGTAATCCCTAAGATTATTTAGCTTAGCCCCTTGAAAGAAGTTTACTGCTGTGACACAGGGAGGGAACCATGGCAGAGCCTCATGGACTCCTTGAGTTGAGGAGAAAAGAGGAGGGCTGGGGAGAGCAAAATGGGTAGTGTTCTTGGTGAAAAATACTAAGAGAAGAGCGCTAAAGAGAGTGAGTTCTCCAGGAGTCTATAGAGGGTCCCCCTCAAGTATTCAGCAGAGTATTGATCAGTGAATGGCAGCGAGGAAACTGCTCTAAGTTAAAAAGAACCCATCCAAAAGGATTAGTGGGAACTCAAGTAGGGCCAGGAATGGTGCCTGTTTTCACCAGCCAAACTGGACAACTTCATAATTCATGGGGCACTGGATAGTGTGCTCAAAAGCGTCTTGCCTCAGTGATGGGGAATTAGCCTAAGACTAACTGCTTCTATTGTCCTGACTTAATAAAACTCTTAAAAGCAAAACCCAAAAGAATCATAATGTTACTGAGTAACTTAACTGTATCACAGAATAAAGCACAAGAATATTTATAAGAAGGCAAAAATATCCAGCACCCAAAAGGGTAAAATTTGCAATGTTTGCCATCTAATCAGTTCTTACCAGGGAGGCAAAGGAGCAAAGACATTAAAACAGTTATAACTCTATTCCATAAGTTCAAAATATTAAGTAGAGACAGAAAGACCTTTTAAAAGACTCAAATTGAGGATCTAGAGATGGACACTAGAACGTCTGATATTAAAACATACTCTGGATGGCAGATTAAACATTGCAGAAAGAAAGGTTAGTTGAGCTGAAGACACAGCAATAGGCTGGGCGCAGTGGCTCACGCCTGTAATCCCAGCACTTTGGGAGGCCTAGGCGGGGGGATCACGAGGTCAGGAGATCGAGACCATCCTGACTAACATGGTGAAACCCAGTCTCTACTAAAAATACAAAAAATTAGCCAGACATGGTGGCGAGTACCTGTAGTCCCAGCTACTTGGGAGGCTGAGGCAGGAGAATGGCGTGAACCAGGGAGGCGGAGCTTGCAGTGAGCCAAGATCACACCACTGCACTCCAGTCTGGGCAACAGAGCAAGACTCTGTCTCAAAAAAAAAAAAAAAAAAAAAAAGACACCACAATAAAAATTATCCAAAATAAAATTCAGACAGAAAAAAATAATTTTAAAAAATTTAAAAATATTGCCAGGCATGGTGGCACATGCCTGTAAGTCCCAGCTACTCAGGAAGCTGAGGTGGGAGGATTGTTGGTGCCCAGGAGCTGAAGGCTATAGTACACTATGATCGCACCTGTGAATAGCTACTATATCCTATCCTTGGTGACACAGCAAAAACCCTCCTCCAAAATTAAAAATATTAATAAGAATATCAAGAAGTCCAATACATGCACAATTGGAGGTCACAAAAGAGAGAGTTAAATGTGAATACCATAAACCCCAAAGCACCACTGAAATAACAAAACAAAGATTTACAGATAATGAGCCAACAAAGATGATGAAATGGAATCATAAAATATCGATTAATACAAAAGAAGATGGAAAAGAGACAAAAGAACAGAGAACAAATGAGACAAATGAATGCAAATAAGATGATAGCCTTAAACCAAACTAAAGTAATACTCACAATGTAAGTGACCTAAACACCCTCAATTAATAGACAGAGATGTCAGATTGACTAAACAGTGCAAGACCTACCTACAAGTTGCCTACAAAAAGCACATTTTAAATATAAAGACATAAATAGTATTAAAGTAAAAACATAGAAAAAGAAAGCCCACAGTAACATAATCAAAAGAAATCTTGAGTGGCTTATATTAATGTAAAAGTATATTTCAAAGAAATAAACATTAAAGACGAAGAAAGTTTGGTAATAATGATAAGGAGGACTTCTCAGCCTCCATAATCATGTGAGTCAATAGTTAAATAAATCTTTTCTTTTCTACATCTATGTATAGCTTATGTGTCTGTTTCTCTGGAGAACCCTGACTAACAGAATCGAGAGAGAGAGAGAGATCTATTATAAATAGATAGATACATAAATAGATAGATAGACAGATAAAATATCTACACCAAGCTGACCAGTTTGCAGGCACATCTGAATTTTTACAGACCCTCTATGTAGTGGGGTGCAAGGGTAGATACCTCTGACATAGGACAAAACTCAAAACTTGAGTTTATGGGCTCCTCAACCTTTTAACTTGATGGGCTCCTCAACCTTTTAACAAAATTTTCTAACAACTAAAAGCTGTAGAGATATCAAGTGACTGAAGACTTCAACTTTTACACCATCTAGTCTGGGATATGTTATTTTACCCTTACGATACCTAAACGAGGATTGATGCCTTCTTGGGTCCCATTTTAAAAGGTACTCAAATAGAGAGGAGGGATGGAGAAAAACGAATATGCATGGAGCACCTACTGTATGCCAGGCACTATACTAGGTGTTCCATGTATAAATTCTCATCTAATCCCCAAATCTGGCCAAGTGTAGTATTATTACCCCATAGTAGACTATGGAAGAAGTTTAAGCAAAGTTAATCAGAAAGCCTGTAAGTTAGAAAACACATTAGCTCTTTTAAGTTTAAAAAAGAAAAAAAGCAAATCCAGATTCAAAGATTATATATTCATTTCCCCACCCCCCGCCCCCGCATCCCATCTTTCTACAAAAACAAGCCCACTCTTAAGCAAAACTTCATGACGGAAGCTACAACATGCAAGGACAGCTGAACTGCATTAAATTAGAGCAATTACGTCAGTTTCTGAAGGTCGACATTGATAGGAAAACTTCATTGTCCTGACACAGAGGTCTCCGCTGCTCTTCCCAGATGTCAGAAAGAAAATAACCAGGCAAGTGCTTGGGCACATGCAAGGGTGCTATTTCAGAACCCTTTACCTCCTCACCCTGTGTACAGCTTATACTCTTCATCTACCATGCAGAGTTCTAAGGAGCTGTCAGAGCTGTTTTACCATTTAATAAATAAAAAGAAAATATGCGAGTAGTAGAATTTTAGCACAAATCCAAATGGAATAATTCGTTTTCAAAATATCAATATTTGCTGCCAATGGGACTTAACAAAATTTAAAATTCTAACATTTGCAAGTGAAAACAAACCATTTCTACACCCAAGAAACCCACAAAATTATTCCCCTAAATGTCTTCCCATAAGAAATGGAGACATTTCATATCTTCCTTTAATTTTTTTCTATATAGGTATTTAAATCGCAAAATCAATTCCTTTTGATTAACTACTTTTTTGCCCTGATAAAAATAATAATTCAGTGCAGCAAAATTAAAATCTTCATTTAAAATGGGAAACCTGATGAAATCAAAGATTTTTTTGAAACTTTGACTACAGACAAAGTTTTTCATTTCAAAAAGAATATTTATAGAAGTCATTATGTAGTTGAATGATCTTAAAAGAAGCAATACAGTCAGCTGAGGCACTGGAATCAGTGCAAAAAAACACTTTCTGAGGCCGGGCATGGTGGCTCACGCCTGTAATCCCAGCACTTTGGGAGGCCGAGGCGGGCGGATCACCTGAGGTCAGGAGTACGAGACCAGCCTGGCTAACATGGTGAAACCCCGTTTCTACTAAAAATACAAAAAAATCAGCCGAGCATAGTGGCTGTAATCCTAGATACTCGGGAGGCTGAGGCAGAAGAATCGCTTGAACCCGGGAGGCAGAGGTTGCAGTGAGCCAAGATCACACCATTGCACTCCAGGTTGGGCAACAAGAGTGAAACTCTGTCACAAAAAAAAAAAAAAAAGAAAAAGAAAAAAAGAAAACATTTCCTGACATGCATTTTAATAGCATTTCAGATGCCAGAATTTTTACTAATACCCCAATTAAAACATGAGGAGAAAGTCCACTGTTTTTCTCCAGGGCTGTTAGTTCTAATGGTACAAATTCTTTGAATTGAAAACATATTAAGCACTACCAATTAGTATATCTGTGTGCCTTGAGTGTACATATCTACAATGAAAGACATTGATCTTTTTCATCTTCCAATCCAGACAAGAAGCAGTAGCCAACACAGGCATGTTACCAAATGTCACCTGATATGACCAAATTAGAAAAAGGGTGGAGGCCCTCCTACAGCTGTGCAAAATCAAGTCATTTTAGCTGTTTTCATTGTTGTTATACAATAAAGAGGGATGGCAGGGCAGCTGAATCTTGGATCAAGATAAAGAAGTCCTCCTCACCTCATTGGCAAAGATGAAAATTAATCTAATTCAAACTTCCCGGAGCTGTGTTCTCATGGTGCAAAGAGGACAGCTGCTGAAATGGTCATGTGGATGACAGAGGAGGGGTAACTATCAGACATTAAACCCCTCCATGCAGAATTATACACAAGAATTTTGTACACAGGCTGGCCAGTGAAGTCACCGATGGATGACAAGACCCACACAGCCCCTTTCCCCTATTTAGAAAGCTCTGGATTTTTGCCTGGTTCCAATTGGTGACATAATGACATGTCAGCCCCTACTTTGCTGCCTATATACCCATCTTAGAGAAATTGACCCACCCATAGCCTGGTACCATGTGACACACACACACAACAACACAGGTGATTGGGTAAGCCCTGGGATTGATTGGATCAATTAAACTGTTCATTCTCAAAAATCTGAAATTGAGGCACAGGGGCTAGATCAACTGGCTGGAAAGTCTGGTGACCTGGGAGACAAGGGCACATTTTGGGCTGCCTATGATCATCCATGTACAAACAGAGCAGAGACAGCTAGTCTACAGAAAAAGAAGAGTGAGGCAAGAGAAGACAGAGAGAGAGAGGCAGCTTTGGGAAAGGGAGATACAAAAAAGAGAAGTCACAACAGTGTATCAGAAAGGACACTGAACTGGGAGAAGTGACATGGTTCCAGTATAGGACAGCTACTCTTCACAAGGTAGCTCTGGGTGAATCATTTAACTTCACTGGATTCAGGTCCCATGATGGCAGTACAACTTAGTAGCTAAGACTTCAGCTTTTGCCTGACTTTTGGAATTAGGCAGAGTTAGGTTTGAGTCTCTGATCTTTATAAGCACTGTGACCTCAGTCACCTGACTTGCCCCTTTTGGCTTCAAATACTACATCTACAAAATTGCAGTATTAATTATACCCCTCATAAGGATTTTTGGGATCATTAAATAAAGGGATACATGTAAATCAGTTACACAGTCATCAACATAAAGCATCCAAGAAATATTAACTCTATAATAACTGGGAATTATTCACCTCTCTATGTATGTTTTCTCTTCTGTAAAATGCAGATAATAATAGGACCTTACTCATAGGATTCCTGTGAGGATCAAATAAGTTGATACACAGAAAGCACTTAGAAGAGTGCCTGGTGTATCATAAGGGCTCAGTAAATGTTTTATCACTATTATTGTTGTTGATGATGATGTGCTCATCATTATTATCATTATTCCAGTGCCATCCATTCACAGCACTTTTACCATCACCACCTTTGCAGATTAAACCAATTAATCAGAAAATTATGGGATTATGTTTGCCTCTGTGCAGAACTTTGTAAATCTTGGATGCTTCATTAGGACTAATTTTGCTGATATTCCTATTAAATATGTAGCCAGAGCAATAGTTCATTTCAATATGATTCTTGAATTTTATAGAAGCAAGCATTTTAAACTTATTCATGAAAGGAAAAATAAATAAATAAAAGCAACCTAAATGTCCCACAAGGGATAAATGTTTAATTCAATAGTATTATAGTAAGTCAACTGGGTATAATATTGTTGAGCCATGAAAAGAATATGTATACAGGTTTATTGAACTGAACTATGAAGCAATATAGAAAAAATGATGTAATGGTAAGGCAAAATATGCAATTGTAAATACTCTATGATTACTACTGTATGATAATAACTATGTACATGGGGCTATAAGCCTTCAAAGCAATGATAAGTGCACAGTTATAATTCTTCAAAGCAATAAGTTTTGTCAAGTTATGGAAATTGGAGAACTTCTCACTCCATTGACCATACTTCCTGAAATGAATTTTTCATAATAATTGAAATATCTGCAGCATGCTCTTATTAATTACAATTCTTCAATGTTAAATAACAAGAAAATTCATAGAAAAGAGATTCTTTTTCTTTCTACAACATAGAGGAAGCAGATTATAATCCTCCACAGTTTTGACTGTAATCACTTTCCTTAATTATATGCCATTAAATATTAAATTAGAATTGGTCAAATCTTTAAATAAATAATGTTATTACTGCTGTAACTAGCAGGTTATCTCCATCCTAATTCCATACAGCACATAACTGTGGTTTATAAATGAATAAACACATTAACACTAGTGCTTAACCACATATAATAAAGAATACTCTTTTTACTTTCTTTTTCTAAATTATTTTTAATTTATTTTTAAGCTATGGGTAAAAAATGTGTATATTTATGGTATACAATATGAGGTACCAGCACAGGTATATACTGTGAAATGGCTAAGTCATGCCATTTGATGTATAGCAGAACATTCTTTTTCCAAATCATCTCTGTGCCACGCAAGAGAGTCCTGAAATAAAGTGAGTCTCTAGTAGATGTAATTAGCAGAGAAAAGTTGTTACTCCTCTCTGGAAGCCTCAGTGTGACTACAAGAGGCACTCCTATACAAATGCATCTGTTTCCAGTAGTTTGCCCATCCTAAGCAGAATCCTTCCGCAACTGAGTGACATGGTTGCACTACAATACGCCATCTGTATCCAGATTCTCATGTGCTGTTGGCCCTGTGGATTCTATTCCAAAGTCAGGTACCATCTTGACAGAACTGCAGGTTGAAGCAAAGACTAGTGCATGAGGTATTTATGGCTTAAAACAAGTTTCCAACTACATACTATCAAAAATGCATTCTTGCTTAGCTGTTTAGTCTTAAGGAAAGTGGCAATAAGCTCATTGTTAATAAAGAAATTATTTATCATGCAGTGAGAAATATGGAACAGCTTGTTGGTCAGCCCTTCACAGAGCTGACATCACAGCATCACTGACAGTCTCCACCATCTTTTGTAATTACCACTTTTTTATTATTATTATACTTTAAGTTCTGGGTTACATGAGCAGAATGTGCAGTTTTGTTATATAGGTATACATGTGCCATGGTGGTTGGCTGCACCCATCAACTTGTCACCTATATTAGGTATTTCTCCTGTTATCCCTCCCCTAGCCCCCCACCCCCTGACAGGCCCCAGTGTGTGATGTTCCCCTCCCTGTGTCCATGTGTTCTCATTGTTCAACTCCCACTTCTGAGTGAGAACATGCGGTGTTTGGTTTTCTGATCTTGTGATAGTTTGCTGAGAATGGTGGTTTCCAGCTTCATCCATGTCCATGCAAAGGACATGAACTCATCCTTTTTTATGGCTGCATAGTATTCCATGGTGTATATGTGCCACATTTTCTTAGTCCAGTCTATCATTGATGGACATTTGGGTTGGTTCGAAGTCTTTGCTATTGTGAATAATTACCACTTTTATAGATGCTAAGAAATGTAGACAAGGTTACATGGCAAAATTCCATAAAATCAACAATAGCAAGTGAAAATTCATTATTCAAAGAACAGTGCCATCTACCAGCCATCATTCCCAGGTACAGCCTCTTCCCACTTCCTACTAAAATCTAAGCCTGAGAAATACACTATGCTTGATTCTAAAAGGCATTTATATAAAAAAGAATTGGAATGAGAACAAGGTGGGGAGCCATCCATAGCCATACTCTGCGAGATTAACAAAGGAGCCCCAACTGACTAAAAAACAGGAGGGAGACATTTTACTCCAACCAGTTGCCCACACACCCAACCCTAGAAAGCAAAGGTCTGTGGTTAATTCAATAATTGAAAGACAACTGGGTATAATATCATTGAGCCATTAAAAGAATATGTATATAGGTTTATTGACCTGAACTATGAAGCAATATCAAAAAAATTGATGTAATGGCAAGTTAAGGCAAAGCATGCAATTGTAAATACCCTATGATTACTACTGTATGATAATAACTATTCACAGGGAGAAACGAAATATATCAATATATCAATAAAACAAAATAAAAACAAAAAATCACAGCCACTCCTATGTATTATGCACACTGATGTGTAAGGCAGGCCATGTACTACTCTAGTCCCTGCCCTTGAACCATGCTGGAATGTATAAGAAAGAGATAAGAATGACAGTTGTACAGTCTATCCCAGAACCTAGAGATCTACATGTGAAGCATTAAGTCAGTGAGAAGCCTCATGGTAATAATGCTTGCTGGAGTTGTAAACTTTCTTATAATTCGTGAGTACCGGAAAACAAGACAAGGAAGATCCTACCTTATTGTGGGAGAAGAACACTAGAAGATGTAGGCAAAACCCTGGGAACAGGCCTAGCCTATACTTACCAACTAAAGAAAGATTGAAATAACTTCCAAGTGAACAATGAACAGAGGCAAATGACCAAATGACATCTGTACAACATGTCTTCTAAAAAACACCAAGGACCTGAGATACTGCTGTTCAAAGATTTTTTAAAATGTGAATTCATACAATGTTACCTATAAGCATAATAGGTACTTTTCCATAGCAAAATAGAGAAGGTTGTCTTGAAGGCTCAGAAAAACCTCCTGGAACCAGTCATTTCGGGAATTTTTGAAAAAGAGTTTTGCATCCTTAATGGTATACAGAAGACATAGCCTTACTGAACAGGAACAGAAACCAGGAAAAGAACAGGATAAAATGACAATATAAGAGCTTTTGATGATTAAAAACAACAGGATGAACAGCAAAGACCAATCAGCAGAGACAAAACAGAGCAGGGTGAGATAAGGAACAATTGCAAGGAAATTAAATGTCCAATAGCAAAATGGATGAATAAATTGAATAATCAACACAGTGACAAAATCAAATCAATAGGAGGATGCAGCAGACACTGTTGATGCAAATAGAAATCATGTTCTTCACAAACAGAAATCACCTTTTATTCAATATCCATACCTCAAGTAAGTCATCCTTTTCCCAGCTCAAGGGAAAGTCTCTACTAATGGTAGTCTCATTCCTCTTACTGTGATTAGTTTAAAGGAGGTCACATGACTTAGTTAAAGTCTGTGAGATCTGAGGGGAAGTCTGCTGAGAACTTCTGAGAAGAGTCTGCTCACTGACACAGGAAGAGGGCTGTTCTAGAATGTGAGGCCATCTTGAGAAGAGGAGAGAAACTAGGGCAGGATCTCTACACTGGGCATGGCAGCTTCTGTTAGTTGTACTTGACAGAGTCTCGATATGCAGAACAAACTTGAGAAGCCCACCTTTAATGAAGAAAAAAGAACAAAGAAATGAAAGTTGTGAGAGAATAGAAAATATGATGGAAGATGAGGAACCTAGGAAATTTCGGAGTTCCCTGTTGAAAACATAGAAAGAGTAACTGAAATCCAATCAATAAGCAAAGATATAATTTAAGAAAAATAATGTGGTGAAAAATCCTGATAATTCAAACCAAAAGAGTTCACTGTGTTTTAAGTAAAGTTAATTTAAAGGAGTCCTATATTAACTTATCCTAGCAAATTTTACTTTTCATCTCTTTTTTTTCATAAAGAAAAACTGTGTAAGTATCTTGGTAGAAAAATAAAGAACATCTACTTCTGTACAAAAATAAGATTGGTACCATGCTTCTTTTTATGCAATTTCAAATGCCAAAGACAATGTCCTAACATCTACAAACACTAAATAACTTTACTTCTTGTTAAATTTTTATTCACATGGAAATACAATGGTAAAATGTTTTTTAAGATACGCAAAGGATCAGGAAACATATCAAGTAAATGTTCTTCTTTAAAATTTTACTTGAAAATGTCCAAATTCTAAATTATATATACAAAAATGAGAAGTTGCATTAGGAGTAAGTATAGTCCACAAAATTCCTTGCTTTACAAAGGAATTAAAATATACTTTTTCATGAATTTTTCAATTATAAAAATACAAATTGAAGAATATTGTGGAAAGGGTTAAATGTATTTGGGAAAAGATTAAAATGACCAAATTTAGGAAGATAAGATAATGACCAAATTTAGGAAGATAAGATAATGACCAAATTTAGGAAGTTTCCAGCCATTATTTCTTCATATACAGAAGACCCCCTTATCTACCATCTCACTTTCCATGGTTTCAGTTATCCACACTCAACCACAGTCTGAAAATATTAAATGGAAAATTCTGGAAATAAACCACACATACATTTTAAATTATGCACCATTCTGAAAAGCATGATGAAATCTCGTGCCATCTTGCTCCATCGCACCTGAGAGGTGAATCACCCCTTTGTCCAGTGTATCCATGCTGCACATGCAACCTGCCCACTAGCCACTTCCTAGTCGTCTTGGTTATCAGATCAGCTGTCACAATATCGCAGTGCTTGTGTTCAAGTAATCCTTGTTTTAGTTAATAATGGCACCAACACACAAGAGTAGTGATACTGGCGTAAGGTTATAATTGTTCTATTTTATTATTAGTTATAGTTAATCTCTTACTGTGCCTAATTTATATATTAAACTTCATCATATCTATGTATAGGAGAAAACATAGTATATATAGGATCCGGTATTATCCATAGTTTCAGTCGTCCACTGGGAGGATCTTGGAATGTATTTCCCCCATGGATAAGAGGCAACTCTTATACTTTTTCAGTCCCACCTTCTACTCTTCTGCAGGAACCTCAACAATGCAAATGTTAGCACTTTGTTATTGTCCCACACATCCTTGATAATGTTCTTTTCTCTCAGTCCATTTTCTCTCTGTATTGTTCAGATTAGGTAAATCTAATCTGTCTGAATACCTGGATTTTCAAAAAGAGAGAAGTGAGGAAATCTTATTTAAATATATATTTCCCAGATATTTCACTAAAAATTACTGAGACTTTTTTTTTCTCCAGAGTTCTTTGTATAACTAGGTCCTTGCTTTTCAGATCCAGGTTTAACTGTCAGTTTCACAGGAAGTTACTTCAAGTTTACCTTCCTTATAGTCCCTTTCACAATCTGTAATTGCGTTGTTTGTATATTTTAATGGTTTATTTTCTGCTCCTTCCCCTAGAAAATAAGCTCTATAAGGTGTTAAATCAAGTTTAGCCTAAAGCTGCCTCCTTACATATTTTAAGTTCAGCCTAAAGGTTTTACTGTACATCGTGAACTGTAACAAGTTGAGGTGTAAGCAGACCACAGCCTACACTTGTGCAAATCACCAAGCAATCAAATGTAGCCAACTGTTTGAACCATGTTTAAATAAGGTAAACGCCAACCTGTAACCTATCCAACTGTTTCTGTACCTCACTTCCGTTTTTTGTTTCCCACTTTCCCTTTTCGGTCTGTAAATCTTCTTCTACCACATGGCTGCACAGAAGCCTCAGAGCCTACCCTGTCACGGAGGCTGCCTGATTCGCAAATTGTTCATTGCTCAATTAAACTCCTTTATATTTAATTTGGCTGAAATTTTTCTTTTATCAAAGGGCAAGGACAATGTCTCCTTCACCATTGATTTGCACATTCAACGCATACTATTTTGAATAGAAACTGAATAAATGTATCAGCTACCTCACACATGTCTGAGGAGAAACAACTGGCATTTCCCACATATTTTAATGATAGAGTCAGACCAAGAAGAAGTCGGGTAGAACATATGCACACAGCCTGGCGATTTTAAGATGTGTCACCCCTAAGAAGTAGAGCCCATTCGTGCTTCCTTCTGGCCTAGATGTGTCTAGAAGTCTTGATAAAATAAATTTTAACTGGTGTCCAAAAATAATTGAAGATTAATTTAAATCTTAATTTCAGTCTATTGAGGAAATACTGAAGAAGGTTTAGATTCACAAGACACAACAAATTCCTTAAAAGCCTCTTTTCTTAACTTTTGCTCATTTTCTCCCTCTCTATCCCCCTTCCCCTCCACCCTCTTCCTCTCTTTCTCCCCCATCACTCTCTCTTCCATATACACAGAAACTGTCCCTCCCTTCCTCTCCACAATCCTCCCCTGCTCCAAGCTCCCAGGAGCCCATCCTCACCCAGCTACCACCACAAGCTCCCTTGCCCTTCCTCTTTGCCCCACTTGACATTGTAATTCTTCTTCTCTTACTCTTGGAATTTTTCCTGTTCCTCTGTTTCCCTGGTTCTTCACTTACCCATTGCCCTGATCTGCCTAAGAAAGGCCAAGGAGCTTACTGGTGAGGGTAGAATTCTCCTTTACTTGTAAATTTGAAGCAGAGGCCAAGTAGGCTAAGAGAAAAAGAGAATTCTCGCTATGGAGGGAAGGAAAGAGGGATGGTGCTGTGCAGGATAGAGACTATGAAGAAATAAAAATAAGTAGCTTCACTCTATCACAATGGCACTAAAACAAGCAAGTACCAGATATCAAAGTATCCATATATCTTGGTATATTTCAAGACTTTGCTTTTCTCCCATTTTCAGTTGCTCCCTCTATCCCTTTCTCCTTCTGTATTATTTTTTCCTATGAGGCTTTCAATAAGGGTTTTCTAACTAATGAATAACAGCAACTGTGGGCTGAAACAGGAAATGATCTACCATATTATCTTACCTCTTTAAAGTCCCCGTGCACTAAGAAACATTAAAACATAGAGTGGGAAGATGAATCTAATTGTTGAAGGCACAATTAAACAGGCTTAAACAAACAGGCTTCAGGCATGGAAGAATAGCAGCATGGGTTACAGTCACAGGCTATGAAGGGTACCAGATCTAAATTGTCTCAATGCAACCACTTATTTTATCAGAAAATGGAGATAATAATATGACTATGCCATAGGATTTTTTATGAGGATTAAATGGACACTTGAGGAAAAGTGTCATAACAATACCTGGCACATAGTCAAGTTCAAGGAATGTTAGTTGTTTCTGTGGTTGAATTAGACATAGACCAACTGGTCGTGTCCCAAAAAACAGAGAAGTGTGGGTTTATCAAAGGTAAGCAGGCTAAACAAAGTTGAGACAAATGCATACTCACTAACCAAGGCCCTAATCACCATGTACTAAATGCCTTTCATTTAGCCTTTGCTTTTGTTTGCAAGTAAAGAACCTCACTGTGGTACTTTTCACTCATAGCAAAACTACACAAAATGTAGAGTCCAAAAGACACCTTGAGTTTTCCCTAAGGCGCAAAACAAGACTTTTGCACACTGAGAAATGCAGAGAGCCTACCTTCCACAGGGTTTGGACCAATGGACTGATGGCCGTGGTACTCATAGAAAATGTCACCCCTTTTGTTCTCATGGAGTTCCACTGGATTAAAAAAAAAAAGAGGGGGTGGGGGGCAAGTACAAAGACTTGAAGGCACCAGTGAGAGAAGGCGACTGTGTTTTATTAATCCATGTGATTAATCCAGCATGCTAAGGAAGATAGTTTACAGAATCAAAACTTGCATGTTTTGATCCACATGGATTAGGAAACTGCTGCATTCACTTGCCAGTACCTCTTCTGCTTTGTGCTTGAGTTTTATTCTTCAGGGTCCAGCAGGAACAAAAGAGAAAGAGTGTTTATGTGAGGGCCAGTAGCAGAGGCACTTTGACAATTGTCTTTCTCCCCCTCCCTCTCTGGGAGACACTTCCTGAATTTCCCAAGAACTAAGCCCCAGGTTTGTATTTGCATCATTTCTCCCCAAAAGCTGAACAGCTAAAAACTACCCCCCAAATGCAAATTTCTGTCAACCCATGAAAAGTGGTTTTCACCAACAGGAGGGATGGAAAAATCCCACTCCAAACACTTCGCAAGACAGTGGTGAGAATGACGCAGAAATATTCAAGGATCCAGTGGGAACCACCAGCCCTTCACGAGGGTGAGCAACCTGAAAGAGTCCTGTCGGCATCTGAAAGGTTTCTCACAAGCTTTAGTGTGAGAGGAATGGGAGACTTTGGATATGCCAAAGAAAGAGAAAGAAATCTTCAGGGAATCAGAGAGAGAGAGTTACCCAGCAAGGCTCAATCAGGCTTCACCGCTTTCCGTTGCCTATAATGTGATTCTGAAACCTAGCATGAAGTATACGTGTACAAACTAAGATGATTTGAATCCATTTCATCTCTTCTTATTCTACCTAGGAGAAGCAACAATGAGTCATCTGCACAAAACCTCTGTGGTCTACAATACAGCAGTCTCCAATATTTGTGAGACTTTTCAAAGAAGGAGTTGGTCTGAGGCTGCTATTAGTCCAGTAGAATGATGGTGTATGATAACAGTCACAGAAACCTTCCCAAAGCACATTTAGAAACATGAGAAGCACATGCCTTTCAGTTCTAGGGAGAATTACGGCTTCCAAGTGAAATTGGACTAGCCCAAGTAAAAGAGATCTCAGCTCCCCTCTCACCTTTCAGCCTCCCATCTGCCCATTTCTCCAAGTCATGGTCCCTATGCTACTTCAAAGACTGAGGCCAGAAGCTGGGAGACCTCCAAGGTAACATTCTGAGATCAACTGTTTGATAACAATCAATGCGGTTCATCAGAAATCTGAAAGTTTGTGAGGCCACCCTTTTAGAAATAATTGTACACTGTAAGACTTTATCCATATTTTTCCTATAGCTGCCTCCAGTACCCAGAACAGTGTTTGGTGCAGAGTCAGCATTTAATAAATATTTGTTAGATTGGTAAATGCATATAAAATTATAGATAAATAGGAAGAATAAGTTGGGGCATTCTATTACACGGTAGGGTAACTACAGTTAAGAATATTGTTTTGTTTTGTTTTGTAGAGATGGTGTCTCACTATATTGCCTAGGCTGGTCTCAAATTCCTGGGCTGAAGCAATCTTCTCAGGTTGGTCTCTCAAAGTGCTGGGATTTCAGGTGTGAACCACCATGCCTGGCCTATGGTTAACAATATTGTATTGTATATTATCAAATAACTAGAAGAGGGGATTCTGAATGTTCTCACCAAAGAAATGATACATGTTTGAGTGATGGATAAGCTAATTACCCTGATGTATCATTACAAAATGAATACATATATTAAACATCACAGTGTACCCCTCAAATATGTGCGATTACTATGTACCCATTACAAATAAAAATTTAAAAATAATAAATATTTGTTGAACTGTATCATAGAACTCATTGTCAGCTGCTTCCTTGTCCTTAGAGTATTCCCCCTTTGAGAAAAATCACCATGACCAATATGTCTGTGTATACCCAGCTCCTAGCAGAGCACTCAGCACATAGCAAGTTGTCAGTAAGTGTTGGCTAAATCTGTGGTCTGTGGCATAATCTGCTTATGAGCAGTCTTACCATATGGATCTCTGAAGAGCGTGATTTGTGTTTGTATGTGTAGGTGTGTTTGCACATACATGCATACACTCTTGTCTGCATATACTTCTGTATTGGTGTATGTATCTGGCTCTGAAGGCAGCAGCATGAAGGAAAATGAGAAGTCAGATGTCATACATTTTGGCTGGTCATTGACCCGCCCATCTGAAAGGAAGATGATCATTTCTACAACATTCTGCTTGTTGACCATCCAGGTTCTCATCAGTTGACTGAAGAATATTTTTTAAATGGGAATTCGATTATCCAGTCTCTTCCTCTACCTCCTCCTGCTGTATAGCCAAGGAGATGAACCCAGAGAGGTTAAACAGTTTGTACAAGGTCACACAGCCAGTGGTTGAGCTAGGCCTGGATCCCCAATAGCCTTACCACCTCCTCATTCCTCACATCTCAGCACCCTAGTTTGAGCACCATGACTCTAGAAAAACAGTTTTTGTCAATTTTAGCAAGACATCCTAGCTGTTAAATCAAATAGGCATTCTTAGTACATTTCTTAATTGTCCTCCCTTAGTATTGGATGCTAACTATCCTTTCCCTTTTCTTGAAACTCATGAAATCCTTTGAATGCAGTAAAAATAATGCTAGTAATTACTGAACATTAAATATGGGCCAGGCACTGTTTCAAGGACTTTAACTATATTGTGACATTCATCTCTCACAATAAATCCTAGGAGTTAGATATTATCATGATCCTCATTTTAACTCAAGGTAAGTAAAGTGCAGAGACATTAAGCCCAAAGTCAATGGCTAATTAGGAATTCAAACTTAAAAGTCTAACTCCTGACTGGGCGCTTCTAACCACAATGCCTCCTGTTAGCTTCTGTTCCTTCCCTACCTTTCTAGGTCACATGGCTTCTCAGCTTCCTCCCTTTTATGCCTCCTCCCTTCTCTTGATCATCTCATCCACTCTCAAGAATTGCTTATCACCTCCTGATGACTCCATAACTTTTTACTCTAGCTCAGATCTTAATTCTAAGTCACAAACAAACAGGAACCTTTTTAAACATGCCCACTAGAATGTCTGTATCTATTCAGGTGTATTAGGCAAAATGGTCTCCTTTGTTAACTTCTGTTCAGCTGGAAGAAATTAGATGTAGCTTAATCCAGTCTATCATTGTTGGACATTTGGGTTGGTTCCAAGTCTTTGCTATTGTGAATAGTGCCGCAATAAACATACGTGTCCATGTGTCTTTATAGCAGCATGATTTATAGTCCTTTGGGTATATACCCAGTAATGGGATGGCTGGGTCAAATGGTATTTCTAGTTCTAGATCCCTGAGGAATTGCCACACTGACTTCCACAATGGTTGAACTAGTTTACAGTCCCACCAACAGTGTAAAAGTGTTCCTATTTCTCCACATCCTCTCCAGCACCTGTTGTTTCCTGACTTTTTAATGATTGCCATTCTAACTGGTGTGAGATGGTATCTCATTGTGCTTTTGATTTGCATTTCTCTGATGGCCAGTGATGGTGAGCATTTTTTCACGTGTTTTTTGGCTGCATAAATGTCTTCTTTTGAGAAGTGTCTGTTCATGTCCTTCGCCCACTTTTTGATGGGGTTGTTTGTTTTTTTCTTGTAAATTTGTTTGAGTTCATTGTAGAGTGGCACATATACACCATGGAATACTATATACACCATGGAATACTATGCAGCCATAAAAAATGATGAGTTCATGTCCTTTGTAGGGACATGGATGAAATTGGAAATCATCATTCTCAGTAAACTATCGCAAGGACAAAAAAACCAAACACCGCATGTTCTCACTCATAGGTGGGAATTGAACAATGAGAACACATGGACACAGGAAGGGGAACATCACACTCTGGGGACTGTTGTGGGGTGGGGGGAGGGAGAGGGATGGCATTAGGAGATATACCTAATGCTAAATGACGAGTTAATGGGTGCAGCACACCAGCATGGCACATGTGTACATATGTAACTAAACTGCACATTGTGCACATGTACCCTAAAACTTAAAGTATAATAATAATAAAATAAAAAATAATAATAATAATAAAAAGAAATGAGATGTAGCTTTATAATGTTCCATTTTCTGTTCTCTTCATGCCACATGGGGAGGTTTCTTAATGCAAAAATAGCAATCTAATCCCTACTTGTTATTTTAAGTAAATCCATATTTGTTGCTTTTAACCAAAGAGTTAAGTATGTTATAAGAGGAATGCTCCATCTGTCTGCTGCAGGCAAGGTCCCAGTTGCTCAGCCATTTGGGACTCCGAAAACTCCTTCTTTGATCATTGCCATCATACTGGGCCTGGCATCTGACATCATGATCATAACTAGGAGAGAAAAATGAGGGGCTGATGCTCCACTGATGAGGGAATAACATGGAGTCAGTCTTCACCAAAAACTCCAAGTTTCTTTTGTGGATCAGTTTTAACCCCTTTCATTGGCCAGTTCAGCCAGGTGCTATATTTGCTGTAGCATTCATTTACAAATAAGGCCAAGTAACAACGTTATTCATAGAATAAATTTAGGCAGCAGTAAGCCTGAGGTTGTTTACCACCACTGAAACTCTAGGTGCTGTTATCAATTAGTGTTTGCTGTGTAATAAACCATTCTAAAACATAACTTTTTAAAATTATTATTTTCCAAGATTCTGTCGGTTGACTGGGGTGTTCTGCTCTGAGTCTGCTCATCTTAAGCTGGATATTTTAGGATGACCACCTTGTATGTCTAAAAATTGGTAGACTGGTTGGTACAGTAGGGGCTTCACTCACATGTCTGCTGTCATTTGGGGTGACGACTCCATGTTTCTCATCATCTTAGGCTCATTCATAGAATGACATAAGGGTTTCCATCAGCAAGAGGGCAAACCCCAATACTTTTAAATTACCTACTTATGTAATATGTTTTAATGTTTCATTAGCCAGAACAAGTCATGTGGTCAAGCTGAGATCCAAAGGATAGAGAAATAAACTCCACCTCTTAATGGGAAGAGTGACATTCAAGAGACCAATGAATTATCATGGACATTTTTGCAATTTTGTGGCATTTTACTTAATCAAGTCCTAAGAAGAATAGAGAGATCCCAGGGATATGAGATGACTGGAGTTATTCAAGGGCAGCATCTGGAATAAGCCATTTCAGGAGTAAGAGCAATTCATCCAAGTTAATCAAGATAGCAATCTCCAAAAACCCCCCAGACTTTGTGACTGAGTCCACAGAAGACATAAGTCTTATTCTACTCTATATGTTTCTTTCTAAAACTGGTCCTCACCTAACAATTCTCCAACCCAGTAAATGGCAGTACCATCACCATCACCCATATTGTTTCAAACCAAAAAAAAAAACAAAAAAACTCAAGAATTATTGTGAATGCCTACCTCACCCTTATCTAAATATCTTAATCATTAGTGAAGTTTACTGGTTTTATCCATCTAAAAATTGTCTCCATCCTTCACCCACTCATTCCCATCTGTCATTACCATCATCAGGTTCTTCTTTATCTCTCACTTGGACTTTTACTGTGAACTCCCTGCTTCCTCACTTGTTCCCCCCTACAATTAATTATCCAGACAACAACAGTGTGATCATTTTTTAAAGTAAATAAGAAGTGGTACAGCTCTACCTAAAATCTTGAATAATCTCCCACTGAGCCCAGAATAAATCCAAAACTCCCCATTGTAACCTAGAAAGTTCTTCATAGTCTGGACCCTACTTGACTCTTAATCTCAAATCACGCTACTCTTTTCCTTCTTCTGGCCACACTGGTCTCTTTTCTAATTTTTAGACACATAAATACACATATCTTGTCTCTCTGGCCAAATGTCAATTCCTCAGAGTTCTTCCCTGACCTCCATATCTTAAATGGCCCCAATCCTCTTCAATCTTGGGTTATTCTCATTCAATAATCTTTTTTTTTATCTTTTTCTTACCTTTTTAAAAGAAGTCTAAGGTATATAGCTTTTAAAGATCTGGTTCATTGAAGTGTAATTTGTAGAGTAAAATTCACTCTTTTTAATTCCCAGCTATATGTGTTTCATCAAACACACAGATTTGTAACCATTATCAAAATTAAGCTATAGAACATTTCATCACCTCAATGAACTCTCCAAAAAGTTTTACAAAAACTGAAACAACCCAAATGTTCTTCAGCTGACAAATAAACAAACTGTAGTGAATTCATACAATGGAAGACCACTTAGCCATAAAAAGGACTATGAATATATATATATACAAGGATGCATTACACTAAATGAGACGTTTGATTTAAGAAATTACATGTTGTATAGTTTCATTTATATGACTTTCTGGAAAAGGTAAGATCATAAGGGCATAAAACAAATCAGCATTTGTCAGGGCTGGGGTAGAGAAGGGGTGGATTATGAAGGGGCATGAGACAATTCATCCACCTCTTTTTTCATAGCTTTCATTATAATCTGTAATAATCTTGCTTATTTATTATTTAGTTATTAATTGTTGCCTTCCTCAAAAGGCATATTCCAAGAGGGCAGGAACCCATCTCTTACTCACTTCTGTGTCTCCAGAAACTAGCATGGTGCCAGTTGTTTAACAGGTGATCGATTTTTCTTTGTTGAATGACTTAATGAATATGTAAGCCCTTCCCCAACTTGACCTTCTCCCTGAATCCTCAGCTTTAACCCATGATCCTGCCCTGTGAATATTACCTCCTAAGTAGTTCTCCTAGTCATCCCCTTTCCCTTACTGCCATATCCATGCCCTTGTTGTTTTTTACTTAGATGATTGTAATAGCTCCAAAAGTAGTTTTCCTACCTGTAGTCTTGCCCCTTCAACCACTGTCTCTAACTGCTGCTAGATATGATCAAATTACATCACTCCCATGCAACTTGATCATATCTAGCAGGAGTTAGAGACAGTGGATGAAGGGGCAAAACTTAAAAAAAAAAAAAATTAATGGTTCCCATTGCCTAGCAACCAACCTAGCTATGGCTCTTCTCCATTCCCAGGTGCTCAACCCTAATCACCACCTACTAGCAGGGCTCTGCTCCTATCCAGATATGGCTCCCAGAACCACAATGCTGCTCATCTGTCCTAAGGATGACTCCTACCTCCAACTAAGTGAGTCCCTCATTCTGGAGGGTTCCTATTGTCTTCCTAGTCCCTCCCATCAGTGCCTCCTCAATCCCAGCATGCCTAATGGCTTCATGTCTCCAAATCTAAGTCAAATATCAAGGAATTTAGGGCTATCAGAGCAAATCATGTAATTATAAACTATGTTATTTCTCAAAGTTATACCCATAATCTCAACTCTCAAGATCCTAGTATACCAAATCTTGAAGTCACATATTTTTCAGCTAGTGATAGTGGCAATTATTTTCTCTGTTCCTCCATTGTGTTTTTAAAAGAATAAAGAAGTTGGCATTTACTTTTATTGAGTTACCACAGTAGGCTGGAAATAAGCCTAAATTACTCTTTCCATAAAACTATCAAAAGCAGGATAGGTCAAAATCAACTTTTAATATGTGCCATCAAAGCCGTGAAATATGAAATTCATATGATTTTATTGGGCCCTTTGGGGGAATCACTAATGCTCATCAAAGGGCACAAGCTAAATAAGTTAAAGTATATCCATAAAATATATTACTCTGAAGTTGTAAGAAAAATGAATGAGGCTCTGGATTCCAGTACCAGTTTATACTCTTGCACCATTTGAGTTTCCAACTGCAAGCCTTTAACAGGGATCTGGGGGAAAAAAATGTTGTATGGAGGCAGGACAAGATTGCAGCTCTCACTGGGACAGACAGAGCAGCATGTGGAGACTTATATCATGAACTTTTACTCCAGAGCTACTGCAGAAATATACCAGGAAAGCCGAAAGAATCCACAGACCCTATGAAGAAAGTGGTTTCCTCCTGCAGGACCCAGGAGACAGCCCAAATACTGTGAGCGCCCAAGTTGTGAAAGTGGGAAAGGGGTATTATCTGCCCCCGAACACACACCCTCACTGAGGAACCTCAAGGTCTAGATTAAGGGAAAAGGATTTGACCTTACCTGGAGCTGAGTCAATTTAGAGAGCCGAGTGAAATACAGGGGTAGAGGAAGCAGCAGGAAAAGCCCTGTGGGCTCTCTAGGTCCCTGGGAAGCAATTTCTGACTTGCCTCACAGGGTTCCTTGGGGAGGGCTGCCAGAGGTACTGGGAAAAGACCACAGGGAGAAGGAAACCTCCAGCTGAACTTTGTAGCAATTCCAACCCAATGCGAAATCTCCTGGCCAGAACTCAGAGGAGGGGAATCCAGTAGACTCAACAGGCAGGGAGGTGCAAAAGCCCTAAGTGCTTTCTCAGTTGAGAGGCTGCTAGTCCAGGGAAAGTTCTCAGCCCTGCTCACCCACTGCCTAGAAACAAACTTGGTACCTACGGTGGGAGTGAGATTAGCCTTTTGTGTTGCATGGGAGCTGGGTGAGGCCTGTGACTGCCAGCTTTCCCCCACTTCCCTGACTACCTGCATGACACAGCAGAGGCAGCCATAATCTTCCTGGGAATATAACTCCATTGACCTGGGAATCACACCCCCATCCCCCACAGCAGCTGCAGAAAGACTCACCCAAGGGGAGTCTAAGTTCAGACACACCTAACCCTTCCCCAACCTGATGGTCCTTCCCTACCCACCCTGGTAGCTGAAGACAAAAAGCATATTCTCCTGGGAGTTCTAGAGCCCCCACCTACTGCCTGATCCTCACTATACTACCACAGCTGATGCCCTCTTGAAAGTGCCACTTCCTGGCAGGAGGCCAACCAGCACAAAAACAGTGCATTAAACAACCAAAATTAAGGATTCTCACAGAGTCCATTTTACCCCCCTGCCACCTCCACTGGAGTAGGTGCTGGTTTCCACAGCTAAGAGATTTGCAAAAGGTTCACATCACAGGACTCTGTGTAGACAACCCTTATTACCAGCCTGGAGCCTGGTAGCCCTGCTGGGTGGCTAGATCCAGAAGAGAAGTAACAATCACTACAGCTCAGCTCTCAGGAAGCCACATTGCCAGGAAAAGGGGGAGAGTACTACATCAAGGGAACACCCCATGGAACAATTTAATCTGAACAGCAGCCTTGAACCCCAGATCTTCCCTCTGACATAGCCTACCCAAATGAGAAGGAAACAGAAAAACAATTCTGGTAATATGACAAAACAAGGTTCTTTACCACCCCCCAAAAAAATCACACTAGCTCACCAGCAATGGATCCAAACCAAAAAACAAATCCCTTATTTACCTGAAAAATAATTCAGTAGGTCAATTAAGGAGCACCAGAAAAAGGTGAAGTCCAATTTAAGGAAATTGAAAACATGATATAAGAAATGAAGGGAGAAATCCTCAGTGAAATAGATAGCATAAGAAAAAAATCACAACTTCAGGAAATAAAGGACACACTTAGAGAAATGCAAAAGCTCCTGGAAAGTCTCAGCAATAGAATCAAAAACAGCAGAAGCAAGAACTTCAGAGTTCGAAGACAAGGTTTTCAAATTAACCCAATCCAACAAAGACAACAAAAAAAGAATTTTAGAAAATGAACAACACCTCCAAGAAGTTTGGGATTATGTTAAATGACCAAACCTAAGGATATTGGTGTTCCTGAGGAAGAAGAGAAATCTAAAAGTTTGGAAAACATATCTGGGGGAATAACTGAGGAAATCTTCCCCGGCCTTGCTAGAGACCTAGACATCCAAATACAAGAAGCTCAGAGAACACCTGGGAAATTCACTGTGAAAAGATCATCACCTAGGCACATTGTCATTAGGTTACCTAAAGTCAAGATAAAGGAAAGAATCATAAGAGCCATGAGGCAAAAGCACCAGGTACCCTATGAAGGAAAACCTGTCAGATTAACAGCGGATTTCTCAGCAGAAACCTGACAAGCCAGAATGGATTGGAAACCTTTCTTCAGCCTCCCTAAACAAAACAATTATCAGCCAAGAATTTTGGATCCAGTGAAACTAAGCTTCATAAATAAAGGAAAGATACACTCTTTTTCAGACAAACAAATGCTGAAGTAATTTGCCACTAACAAGCCAGCACTAAACTGCTAAAAGGAGCTCTAAATCTTGAAAGAAATCCTGGAAACATCAAAACAGGACCTCTTTAAAGCATAAATCTCATAGGAACTATAAAACAAAAATACAATTAAAAAAGACCAAGGTATACAGGCAATGAATAGCACAATTAATGGATTAGTACCTCACATCTCAATACTGACATTGAAAGTAAATTGCATAAATGCTCCACTTAAAAGATACAGAATTGCAGAACGGATAAGAATTCACCAACCAAGTATCTGCTGCCTTCAAGAGACTCCCCTGACACATAGGACTCACACAAACTTAAGGTAAAGGGGTGGAAAGACATTCCATACAAATGGACACCAAAAGCAAACAGAAATAGCTATTGTTATATCAGACAAAATAAATTATAAAGCAACAACACTTAAAAAAGACAAAGACAGACATTATGTAATAATAAAAGGTCTTATCCAACAGGAAAATATCACAATCCTAAATATATATGCACCTGACACTGGAGCTCCCAAATTTATAATACAGTTACTATTAGATCTAAGAAATGAGATAGAAAGCAACAAAATAATAGTGGAGGATTTCAATACTCCACTGACAGCACTAGACAGGCCATCATGGCAGAAAGTCAACAAAGAAACAATGGATTTAAACTATACCCTAGAACAAATGGACTTAACAGATATTTACAGAACATTCTACCCAACAACTGCAGAATATACATTCCATTCATCAGTGCATGGAACTCTCTCCAAGATAGACCATGTGATAGGCCACAAAACAAGCCTCAATACATTTAAGAAAGTTGACATTATATCAAGTACTCTCTCAGACCACAGCAGAATAAAACTGGAAATCAACTCCAGAAAGAACTTTCAAAGCCATGCAAATACATGGAAATTAAATAATCTCTTCCTGAATGACCATTGGGTCAACAACGAAATCGATAGAAATTTAAAAATTCTTTGAACTAAACAATAATAGTGACACAACCCATAAAAATCTCTGGATACAGCAAATATGATGCAAGGAGGAAAGTTTATACTCTTACATGCCTATATCAAAAAGTCTAAAAGAGCACAAATAGACAATCTAAGGTCACACCTCAAGGAACTAGAGAAAAAAGAACAAACCAAACCCAAACCCAGCAGAAAAAAGGAAATAAAAATCAAAACAGAACTAAATGAAATTGAAACAAAAAAGAAATATAAAAATAAATGAACAAAAAGTGTGTTCTTTGAAAAGATAAATAAAATTAATAGACCATTAGCAAGATTAACCAAGAGAAGAGAAGATCCAAATAAGCTCAATTGGAAAGAAAATGAGAGATATTACAACCAACATCAGAGAAATACAAAATATCATTCAAGGCTAGCATGAACATTTTTACCTACATAAAATAGAAAACCTAAAGGAGATGGATACATTCCTAGAAATACACAACCCTCCTAGCTTAAATCAGGAAGAATTAGAAACCCTGAACAGAACAATAACAAGCAGCGAGATTGAAATTATATTTTAAAAATTACCAGCCAAAAAAAGTCCAGAACCAGGCAGATTCACAGTTGAATTCTAGCAGACATTCAAAGAATTGGTACCAATCCTATTGACAGTATTCCACAAGATACAGAAAGAGGGAATCCTCCCTAAATCATTCTATGAAGCCAGTAGCACCCTAATATGAAAACAAGGGAAGGGCATAACAAAAAAATACAGACCAATATCCCTCATGAACATAGATGCAAAAATCCTTAACAAAATACTAGCTAACCAGATCCAACAGCATATCAAAAAGATAATCCACCATGATCAAATGTGTTTCATACCAGGGATGTAGGAATGGTTTAAGATATGACAGTCAATAAATATGATACACCACACAAACAGAATTAAAAACAAAAATCACATGATAAACTCAGTAGATGCAGAAAAAGCATTTGACAAAATCCAATATCTCCTTATGATTAAAACCCTCAGCAAAATTGGCATACAAGTGACATGCCTCAATGTAATAAAAGCCACCTATGACAAATTCACAGCCAACATACTACAGAACGAGGAAAAGTTGAAAGTATTCCCTCTGAGAACTGGAACAAGACAAGGATGCCCACTCTCAACACTTCTATTCAACATAGTACTGGAAGTCCTAGCCAGAGCAATCAGACAAGAGAAATAAATCAAGGGCATCCAAATCAGTAAAAAGGAAGTCAAACCTGTTGCTGTTTGCTGATGATATGATTGTATACTTAGAAAACCCTAAAGACTCCTTTAGAAAGCTCCTAGAACTGATAAACGAATTCAACAAAGTTTCAGGATACAAAATTAATGTACACAAATTAGTAGCTCTGCTAAACACCAATAGTGACCAAGCTAAGAATCAAATAAAAAACTCAACCCTTTTTACAGTAGTTGCAAAAATAAAATAAAATACTTAGGAATACCTAACCAAGGAGGTGAAAGACCTCTACAAGGAAAACTACAAAATACTGCTGAAAGAAATTGTAGTTCACATAAACAAATGGAAACACATCCCATGTTCACAGATGGGCAGAATCAATGCTGTGAAAATGACCATACCGCCAAAAGCAATCTACAAATTCAATGCAATTCCCATCAAAATACCACCATCATTCTTCACGGAACTAGAAAAATCATATGAAACCAAAAAAGAGCCTGCATAGATAAAGCAAGACCAAGCAAAAAGAACAAATCTGGAAGCATTACATTACCCAACTTCAAACTATACTGTAAGGCCATAGTCACCAAAACAGCATGGTACTAATATAAAAATATGCACATAGACCAATGGAACAGAATAGCAAACCCAGAGATAAACCTAAATACTTACAGCCAGCTGATCTTTGACAAAGCAAACAAAAACATAAAGTGAGGAAAGGACACCCTATTCAACAAATGGTGCTGGGATAATTGGGAAGCCACATGTAGAAGAATGAAACTGGATCCTCATCTCTCACATTATACAAAATTCTACCCAAGATGGATCAAGGAGTTAAATCTAAGACCCAACACTATAAAAATTCTAGAAGATAACATTGGAAAAACCCTTCTAGACATTGGCTTAAGCAAGGATTTCATGACCAAGAACCCAAAAGCAAATGCAATAAAAACAAAGATAAATAGGTAGAACTTAATTAAACTAAAGAGCTTTTGCATGGCAAAACGAAAAGTCAGCAGAGTAAACAGACAACCCACAGAATGGGAGAAAATCTTCACAATCTATACATCTGAGAAAGGACTAATATCCAGAATCTAAAACAAACTCAAACAAATTAGCAAGAAAAAAACAATCCCATCAAGAAGTGGGCTAGGGACATGAATAGACAATTCTCAAAAGATATACAAATGGCCAACAAACATATGAAAAAATGCTCAACAACACTAATAATCAGGGAAATCCAAATCAAAACCACAATGCGATACCACCTTACTCCCATAAGAATGGCCATAATCAAAAAATAATAGATGTTGGTATGGATGTGGTGAAAAGAGAACACTTCTACACTGCTGGTGGGAAAGTAAACTAGTGCAACCGCTATGGAAAACAGTGTGGAGATTCTTTAAAGAACTAAAAGTAGAACTACCATTTGATTCAGCAATCTCACTACTGGGTATCTACCCATAGGAAAACAAGTCATTATATGAAAAAGATTCTTGGACATGCTTGTTTATATAAGCACAATTCACAGTTGCAAAAATGTGGAACCAGCCCAAATGTCCATCAATCAACGGGTGGATAAACCGTGATATATATATGATGGAATACTACTCAGCCATAAAAAGGAATGAATTAATAGCATTCACAGCAACCTGTATGGGAATGGAGACTATTATTCTAAGTGAAGTAACTCAGGAATGGAAAACCAAACGTCGTATGTTCTCACTCATAAGTGGAAGCTAAGCTATGAGGATGCTAAGGCATAAGAATGATAGAGGGACTTTGAGGATTCAGGGGAAATAGTAGGAAGTGGATGAGGGATAAAAGGCTACAAATTGGGTTCAGTGTATAATACTCTGATGATGGGTGCACCAAAATCTCACAAATCACCACTAAAGAACTTACTCATGTAACCAAACACCACCTGTTCCCCAAAAGACTATGGAAATAAAAAAAAAAAGAAAATAAAGAAAGAAAAAAAAAGAAAAATGAATGAGAAAGCACTCAATGCACTGACGTGGGAAGAGCTCCAAGATACAGTGATAAGTGAAGACTGAGGTGCAGAATACCGCTGCTCATCTGTATACTTTCATTTGCTCATAAACACACTTTTTTGCTTAGAGAAAATATTGAAGGATTCTCAAGAAAACAGTAAAAGTGTTTTCCCATGGGAGAAAGGGGAATGAGGCAGATTGGAGCAGAAGTAGGAAAAAGACTGTCTACTATGTACCTCTTTATATTTTTAGTTTTTGAACCATGTAAATGTATTATCCCCCCCCAAAAAAATTTTCAGTTCTTTTTAAGTAGAATTTGAGTGTGTACCACAATGTGATACTCAAAAAACTCATTAAAATTACATTACTCCAAGAGTTTGAAGCCATTATAAAATCAACTAAACCTTTCAATGGCCCTGATATGAATACATATGTAATGAATTTTATTAGCATATAAATATAAGTGAATGAATAAACACATTCAAAATAATGCGTTGTTCAAATGAAAATGTAGCAGTTACCTGCTTTATCAGTTGTCCTAAAAACTTCATTATCTCTTAGGTAGTAAATTGGACAGGCACATTTAAATATATCCTTTCAGGTCAGTGAAATGGTCCTAAAAATGGAGTTTATGGACAGTCGCAGGTTGTCAAAATCATCTATGGTGACAATGTTATGGGGAATATAACTAATACAATTATATATCTTTTGGGCTTGACACAAAATGATGTTCTTTTGCTTGTCCTGTATCAATTTATTTAGGGAAATCATCCTTCTACTATTCTCTCTCTTTATCTGCCTTTCTCTCTCTTTCTGTCTCTCTCTCTCACACACACACACACACACACACACACACATTTTGTGTAATTTAAGTGCAGCTGTCAATCAAGTGGCCTACCTCCCCTGCCACACAAGTAGCAAATGTTGACTGGTGTATTCCATTCTCCCAGCTACCTAGATTCCAGGGGTGAACATAAGACCAAAGTCTGGCCAATCAGAGCCATTGGATAAGCAGTAGAGACTGTTCTAGATGAATGAAAGAAGAGCGTTTCTGTACTTTTGAAATTACAAGCTCTAAGAATCGAATATGCCTATAGCTGCCAGGGCATGTTATTGCTATCCTTTTTGAAAACAAACCCAACTTAGTGAAGACAACGGGGAAATTAATAAAATGAAATTAATCATGATATTATTGGTGAACACTGGATCCAGCCATGCCCTAAGCCAGTCCATCTTTGGATTTACTAACTTCATGAGCCAATGAATTTCCTCTTTTGTTGCCATTTTGAAACATAGCACAACTGTTCTTCAATACAATCTTTATGATTATTACCTGTACATAGTCCAGAGTTTCTTTGGAAACTCTGGTCTGTCTTGGGATTATGTCTTAATTTACCTGGAAAATTCAGAAAGTGTAGACTACGAAATTTAGGAGATTCAGAGAAATTCTTCATGTGATTAATGAATCTGGAGCAGGGTACTGAAGTTCTTTCATAACAAGGGATGTGCTGTAAGATAGAGGAGAAAAATACACACAAAAAAATTAGGTCAATGGCTCCAGAATAATTCATGCCACCTAGCACTCTTACTTCCCTAAAGTGAGTGACATTTTAAAAATATTTTTGTTTCTTTATTCTTTAAATGAAACAATCCTGAAAACAATCACAGTTAACTCTAGTTACCTTTACATGCACATTCCTCTTATGTATTCATTAAAGAGGCTAATTAACTTAATTATTTGTTCTTTGAAAAAAATCTTATTCAGTTACACTATATGCTAGATATTATTCTAGACAGTGGGGATACAAGAGGAGAAGTCTCTGCCCTCACAAAATTGACATATTAGTGGAGAGTGACAAAAAAAAACAAATATATCTACAATAGATTGGATGGTGATTTTTCTATTGCTAAGATGAAAAACATAAAATAAGAGATACATTTTCATACAGGGTGATACATTTTCATACAGGGTGACATGAAAACAAAGATTCACAGGCTCAGATGGAGTAGCCATGTGAGATCTTGGTTGAGAGTCATTCCAAGCACTGGGAACAGCCAGTGTGTGAAAGAATGGAGAGGCAGGGGATAGGGAAGGGGGTCAGAAGGTGGGGGAGAGGAGGCTCTTAAATCAAGCTTTGTCACCTTGAAATGGCAAAAACAGAAAATAAAGAGGAGAAAGAGCTACAAAGATATTGGATAAACAATATGAAATAAGGTCAAAAGTAAGGATCCAATTTGATTTAAATCAAAAACTATTCATTCTAAAACCTAAAACTATAAAAACCCAGAAAGATAACCTAGGCAATAGCATTCTGGACATAGGACTTGGCAAAGATTTCAAGAGAAAGACACCAAAAGCAATTGCAACAAAAACAAAAATTGACAAATGGGATCTAATTAAACTAAATAGCTTCTACACAGTAAAAGAAACTATCAACAGAGTAAACAGACAACCTACAGAAAAGGAGAAAGTATTTGCAAACTATGCTTCCAACAATGGTCTAATACCCAGAATCTATGAGGAACTGAAACAAATTTACAAGCAAAAAACAAACAACACCATTACAAAGTGGACAAAGGACCTGAACAGAAACTTTTCAAAATAAGACATACATGTGGCCAACAAGCAAATGAAAAAATGCTCAACATCACTAATCATTAGAGAAATGCAAATCAAAACCACAATGAAATACCATCTCGCACCAGTTAGAATGGCTATTACTAAATGTCAAAGAATAACAGATGCAAGATTGCAGAGAAAAGGGAACACTTATACACTGCTGGTGGGAGTGTAATTTAGTTCAGCCATTGTGGAAAGCAGTATGGCACTTTCTCAAAGAACTTAAAATAGAATTATCATTTGATCCAGCAATCACATTATTAGATATATATACCCCCAAAGGAATATAAATCATTCTAACATAAAGATACATGCACATGTGTCTTCCTTGCAGCACTATTCACAATAGCAAAGACATGGAGTCAACCCAAATGCCTATCAATGTTGGACTGGATAAAGAAAATGTGGTACATATACACCGTGGAATACTATGCAGCCATAAAAAAGAATGAGATCATGTTTTTTGCACCAATATGGATGAAGCCGGAGGCCATTATCTGAAGCAAACTAACACAGAAACAGAAGCCTAAATACCACATGTTCTCACTTATAAGTGGAAGCTAAAAACAAAAAAACATGGATACTAGAAGGGAAACAAGAGGCACTAGGGCCTACTTGAGGGTGGAGTGGAGGAGGAGGGAAAGAATCAGAAAAAATACCCTATGGGATACTATGCTTATTACCTGGTGAGGAAGTTGTCTGTACACCAAACCCCTGTGGTACACAGTTCACCATATAACAAACCTGCACTTGTACTCCTGAACTAAAATAAAAGTTAAAAATTAATAATATAAATAAATAAAAACCACTCATTAAACATGTAATCAGAACCAACTTCCCATTGGTTTGATGTGTAATTTTTATTGTTTGGATATGATTAGATACTATCAATTCAGATGATTTGGATATTGTATAGATTTGGATATTGGATATTAAAGTATGGATAGTACTATTTGGATATTGTGAATATTATGTGTTCAGGATAGCATTAACTTACTGAGTCTGTACAGGATCAAATCATCCCTGCATAAGCAATAGTATCCTACTGAAAGGGTAAGGTTTTCATCTTGTCACTTCATACGGCCTATCACTCACCCAACTCTACCCAACCCCTGAGGAAAAGGTTTGTGCCTCAAACCAGAAAAAAAGCTAAGTGGGAGGTTCCTAGGAGGGCACTGGAGTAGGAACTCTCTCTTTTCCATTACTGTGGATCAAGGAGGCAGAGACGGAAGCTTAAGAAGACACACACCTCTTAAATGGCAAGAGGCAGCTGGGACTTGAGAGACCCAATCCAGTTGTACCAGTCATGGAGCATGGGAGATTAACTAAGGAAGGGTCAGAAACCCCTTCTTTATAAGACTTTTTTGCTGCTAGCATTTTCTTTCTTTATATTTGCTTGATATTGAGTAAAGTCTTTCTTAAAAATCATCACAGATGAGCTAAAATAAGTGAAAGGGAGAGAATTTCTACCATTTTAAAGAGAGAGGAGTACCACAGGAACAGCAGCGATTCCAAGAGAGGGCTTGAGAGAAAGTGAGACAAAAATTTTTTTCCTGACTTGGTTAGAGCCACTGCCCATCTGGACAGCATGTGTGCATGGGCAATCTTGGAGGTGACAATTCAGAGCAGGGGTTATAAAATCATGTAGGCCCACATCCAAGTCTCATCTCCACATCCTGATCTCTATACAAGCTAGGGCAACTTACCTTCTCTATTCCTGTTTTTACCTTTACAAAATGGGGCTAATGCTATCCCGCAACAACTATTACCCCAATTTTACAGATGAAAAACTAAGTAACTTATCAAAGTTACAGAAGTAGTAAGTATTGAAAGCAAGTCTCAAATCCACTCTTTCTTACTCTGAAGCCCATGTTTTTAACCCCATTCCATACTGCTTCCACATTTTAGAGTAAGCACAGCCAGCAATATAAGTGTCCAAAAGAGAAACTAGAAGATCACCCTGGCCTCCACTTCCTCACTTATCCCTCAGATCTATGCACAGCCGTTTCCTGTCAACCTCACCCTCTCAATGTCCTCCAGTCCCATTCCCTCCTCTGCAGTCCTCTGCCACCTATTAGCATCTTCATCCACATCCCTGCTTGCAGTTCACCTCCGTTGAATTCTCTTTCTCACATTATCTTTCTAAATCCCAAGTTTAAATATGGCACTGGCCTTCTTAATAGTGTTCATTGATTTCCCACCATTTAAACAGTGGTTCTCAAACTGCATCATGCATAAAAATCACCTGGTGAACATGTTAAAATGCAAATTTTGATTCACATATGTCTAAGGGGATAAGCCTAGGGATGTGCACTCTTAGCAGTCATCCCGGGTGACTGATACAAATGATCAACTTCTTATTTCTCCAAGTGTGGCTCAGGACCCAGCATCACCAACGTTACCTGGGAGCTTGTTAGTTATGAAGATTCTCTGGCCTCACCCTAAAACCTGCTGGATCAGGATCTGAATTTTAACAAATCCCCAGCCCATCACACTCTGACCTAAAGAACCAAACACAAAGTCCTTTCTATGGTATAGGAGGCTGGTCATGACCCACCATCTTTTTATCTCTTGCCCTCAACCCCATCTCACAGGACTCTCTCCTCTGTGATCCAAGTATGACAAAGTAGGAAAACTGAGGCACCAAAAAGCTAAGGCAGTGAGTCTCGTCTTCTTCATATTGGTCAGCCCAGTGCCTAGCACAGTCCCTAATACATGAGTCATGTTGATTCATTGATACATTTTGAATTTAACTGAATGGAATTAATTTATGTTTTAAAACAAATTTTGAAATGCAGTATTATATTCAAACTGCACCTTTCATCAAGGTATGATTTACTGAAGTGAAAAAGAATGAATGAAGACAAACACAGTCCATATCATGGACCAGATGCATTTTGCTTCTTAAAACACCTTACATTTCTTCATTGGGCAGGGGAGATGGGTACTGATTCCTCTCTGGGAAGACACTGTGGCTTTTAGTTGATTCACTGCCTGAAGTCAAACCCATGCTCTATATATGAAAGCACAACCCCCACCTTTTTTCTTTTAAGATGTGCAAACTTTCACCACAAAGATACAAGAACAGTAAATATTGATCTTCTTGATGGATGGCGCACCTCACGCCACAGGCCACTCAAGCATCTGCTCATTACCACCAGCCCTCCCCTTTGTTGGGAAATAATGCCAAGTGGCCTCGTGTGCTATCGGCTGTAGATTGCAAATATTTAAAAGAAATAAATTTCTCTGAATGAAAAGCACCTTTCTTTGTTATCTAACCCCTCTCCTCCCAAGTCATGTTGATTTTGGGGCTGTGCACACTCCCAGCACCTGTACTTTTCAATTGTTTGCCTGCCAAGAACACTGTGGTTTTCTTGCTTGGTTTTAGAAGCCATTCTAAGTACAGTAGCCAATGAAGGCATATTTTCTTTCTCTCTTGGCAATATGTAAAGGAAGTTTCAACTTTAGGACACCTAGCAGCAACTGTAATTAGAGGACAAGGAAAGAAATTGGAGTTTCTCCATCTCAGTATTCGTCCCACATGATCATGAAAAATGTACCACCACTGCAGACCAAAACCAAAAGTGTAGGTTTCTTCAACAGCCTTATTATTTGGCAGAAAGTTTTCTAAATTGGTTTTGCTGAAATCCAGAATCATTCTTTAGTGGAAAAGTAAGATCTGGACAATAAGATAAGAATGGAATTTCAGCAAGTGGAAAATCAATTTGTGATTGAGAATAGCCACTAGGTATACAAATCCAAGTGTCTAAATATATAAATGTTGGATCAAACTATTATTTCCTCTACATGGAGCATTATCAATTTGATATGGTATCATCATGCCCTGTGTGATTTTAATCATGGCTCTTAATCTCTTACCACTGAGGCATATGCAATGCAGTGTTAAGGTGAAATAACCTACTGCCAAGTATTGTGATCTGGTCAATGCTGATGGCAATCTGGGTCTGGAGACAAATGATGTGTGTGTAAGCCTTTAGTCACTCTCTTACACTAAGCTGAATTCTAATTCAAAGGGAATGCTGCAACCTCTATTACCGCCACCAATTTTTTTCACTTTTGTCACTTTTCATTTCCCTACATACTTTTATTCTACTTTCATGAATGAGTATTTGGGGATTTACTCTTCCCCAGTTCTTGATCCATATAGTTTGGACAAAGCAAATGCCCAGATCTGAGCACATCACATTCCATTGGCTGCTTGGATTGGAGTTCAGAACCAGCGAGATATAATGGGATATTTTGAGATTTCCAAGATTGAGGTTTGATTGTGAGGATGGTAGAGTCTGTGGCTGCTGCAGCTATTTCACCAGCATGAGGCAAGCATCTCTTGGCTTTGAATTACTTCTCTGGTAAGCTAGCTTGAGCTGGATAAGCTGTAATTTCTTGCCTGTTCTGCCTGGTGTCAAGAGATCTGTATTTGTGAGATGAGGGTTCAAAATGTAGTCTGTGTTTATGGAAGTTTATTTCACTCTAGGTCAGGGGTGTCCAATCTTGGGCCACACACAAAATACGCCAACACACAAAATAACCAATGAGAAAACACACACACACACACAAAATCTCATAATATTTTAAGAAAGTTGATGAATTTGTGTTGAGCCACATTCAAAGCTGTCCTGGGCTGCATGTGGCCCATGCTGCATCCTGGGCCATGTGTGGCTTGCTCCTGGTTGCTCTCGTTCAACCTAGAGCAAGCAGGTTGGACAAGCTTTCTCTAGATAAAACTGACCAGTTCTGATAAAGATGATTCTGATAAGGACAATGCTCACTTTGTCTTAGTTGGCATCAATCTCCAAACAAACAGTTAAGCCAAAATATTCTAGGTAATTTACGTATTCCAGAAATGAAAGAGATGATATTTGCTACAACTTACAACCCTTACAACTAAAATGAAGTATTTTGTTGCTGCCAATGTAAGTAGTAAGCCATGGAGTAATGAGCTGAAGTGACTCTCTCTCTATTTGCACTGGATTAGCAAGACCTCCATGGAATTGCTTTAAATTACATATAAATCATAAAGCCACTTTCCGTTTCTTGTAAGACTTGAAAATTATAGGAAATGTCAGGAGAAACATAAAAATGACATTTAATAAATTTAAATTTAAAATCAGAGTTATCCAAGACCGATTTGAATGAAAATTTAAATCTTTTTAGAAAAATTATTCTGTAAGAATCTTCAGCTCTAGATGTACTAAAATTTACATTTCAGAATAATTTATCAGAAATGTATCCCAGTGTTGTTGGAGTCTGTAAAATACTCAACAGTTTTAGGGACAGTTGTATCAGTAAAAAGATTCTTCTCAAAGTAAAAATTATCAAAAATGATTTGCAATCTTAAAGATGAAATTGTTAAAAGTATAACTTATAATGACCTAGTAAAGGAATGTGCAGAAAGCAAGCCCCAAAAAACGGCTTATGATCAATTAGGATATCACATAGCAACATATTATTATTTATTGCATCATAGAAAATTATGACACCAAAATATTAATTTGTTCAGCTTGTAGGTTCAGATTGTCATTCGTGTATTGCTATTACCCCATTATATTTTATAATTAATAACATAGTTATAAAGAAAAAAGTTTTATATTTTAGTATTATTAACTACCCTTTCTTCTGCTTTCATTTTACACTGGGCTCCACAAATTATGTAGCTTGCCCTGACTGTCTCTATACAATTTTTAAGGCTAAGCCTTACATTCTCATAGTCAAATGGACAAGGTCAAAGGCTGTCAGCCAGATGAAGGAATTCTGTATTTCTCACTCATGACATTTGGAGGTGGCCCTTCTCCTAACCTGCAAGATCACTTCCTACCAAAGCTTAAAATCTGAGACCAAAATCTTGCCACTTGGAAAGAAAATAATATCTACCATCTACTGAGTGTATTCAATTGGCCATATATTGCCTCAAGTTAGACAGAAGATTGTTTATACAAGTGCACATACATTTTTGAAAATTTCCGTCTTACTTACACACACGTTTAGTGCAGCACTCTTTACAATAGCAAAGACTTGGAACCAACCAAAATGCCCATCAATGATAGCCTGAATAAAGAAAATGTGGCACATATATACTACGGAATAATATGCAGACAAAAAATAATGAGTTTGTGCCCTTTGCAGGGACATGGATGAAGCTGGAAGCCATCGTTCTCAGCAAACTAAAACAGGAAAAGAAAACCAAACACCGCATGTTCTCACTCATAAGAGTGGGAGTTGAACAATGAAAACACACGGACGCAGGGAGGGGAACATCACACACCAGGGCCTGTCGAGGGGTGGGGGGCAAGGGGAAAGAGAGCATTAGGACAAATACCTAACGCACACGGGGCTTAAAACCTAGATGATAGGTTGACAGGTGCAGCAAACCACCATGGCACATGTATACCTATGTAACAAACCTGCACATTCTGTACATGTATCCCAGAACTTAAAATAATAATTAAAAAAAGAAAATTTCCCTGTCTTTTAGCATCAAAAGCTGGTGTAGTCTGATACCATTATGTTCCTTTGTTTGTGAGCTATCTGGGAGATGTTTGTTTTATTTGTATTCTTTGTTCTTACATCTCTGAAAACTTTTATGATCTCTTTGTCACTATTGAAATAACATTATAACAAAGTGTCTTAGTGTGGGTTTTCTTTCATTATACTGGGCACTCGAGCAAGCCATATCAATCTGGAAATTCCTGCCTTGCAATTCTATAAATATTTTTTCTTTTTTAGGAATAATTTTCTCCCCTCTGTGTTCTCATTCTCTCTCTCTCTCTCACTCTCTCGCTCTCTTGCTCTCTCCCCTCTCTCTCCTTCCATTTTTAAAGCTTTTTCTTTCTACTTTCTAAGGGCTTCCTTTAACTTATCTTTTCACTCTTATGCTGCTCTTTTTAAAAATCTTGGTTTTCACACATTTAATTCCTGTCTATTTCTTCTTGTTGCTGTCACTTTTTAAAATATGGCATCCTGTTCTTATTTAATGGATGTTCTCTCTTCCCTTATTCCTGAGTATTTTGATCTTAGGGTCTGGGCTTGCCTTAGTAGTGTTAGATTTGTGTTCATATTGTTTGGTTCCCTGTGTAGTTTCAGTGTCTTCTGAGCTTCTCTCTTCTGCTTGTTTTCATTTATCTTATGTTAAAAGCCTTCCTCAAGGATCCTTCAGAGCCTTGACTGTCATTCATATTTAACAATAAGGCACTGAAAGGCTGACTGCAGCTCTGGATTCACTCAGTCAGGGCTTATGACCAGTGGACTTCCCTGAAGCATGATGGGGCAGCCAGCCTACCTTTCCAATGACAGGTCCCTCACCGTCAGAATGGGAAAGGCTTTCCCCTGGTATGTCCTCCAAACACCAGCCCAAGAATGTATTTACCAGACCGGTAACATTCTGGGTAGAGAGCAGGAGGAAAGGGCCCGAGTGTCCCACAGGCCACTATATAAAACTTCAAGAAACCCCCACTTGGAATCCCCACCTCATCCCCGAGCTGGGAGTCCTTCTGGCCTAATTTTGCCAGATAATAAATCTTTGGCCCAACTCTGCAGGGTGAGCCAAGAGGAAATAGAACTCTGCATCCAGCCCCTCACCAGGCCCCTGTTCTAAGCCCTGTGTGCACTCCCTGGTTTAGAAGATATGGAGAACCTTCAGGACCCAGGTTTTTCTGGGGGGTAGCATGAATTGACTCACTTCTCCTCATCAGGCCCCTGTGTAGACTGAAGTTGGGAGTCACTTCATTCTGTTAACTCAGTTATCACTTTTTAACCAACTTCACAGCTTTCCAAAAATTGTTGAAATTCCTCACCTAGCATAGTCTTCTCTCTTTGTCTTTATCCTTGTGTGTGAATGCATTTTGTTTTAAAGCAGGGCGTTTCAATCTTTCAAAATCATGTGACATTAAAAATGGATAATAGTTGTAGGGAATGCTGGGGTAAATGGAAGAAGCTACTCAAAGCCAGGGGGAACTAGCCTGAGCTGACCTGGCTATTCCAGCTCCTACACAACCACCAAAAGGACTCAATAAATTTATATTTCTGCCCACATGCAACCTATTTGCAGCATACCATTCAGAGGCTCTGTTTCACCACTAATTTTACAGAGTTTAGGGAAGGGGATATAAATAAGTATGGCCAGTCTACCATGTTTGACCAGATACCCTCACTGCTCACTCGTCTACACTGTCTAGATTTGGATGATTTTTTTTGTCCTGTGGCTTTCCATCTCGCGGTCCTGGAGTATCCATCCAGCTTCTTCAAAAGGCACCCTCCCAATTCTTTTTACCAGGATCACCATAGGCACCAACTTGTCTCTATGATTATTCTCCCTGAAAGTAGTAATGGCCATGCTTCTTGCCTCACTATCCCCATCCAAGGCAAATCCTGGACCCCATGAGGAATCACTTAAGTTGCAGGTACCTGGACCTCAGACACATTCAGCCTGGTCTCCGGTCACTGGAGAGAGAGGGGATTCTACCTCAGCCAATGAAACAGAATTGTGATAAAGACAAAGGGAATAATCTAAAAGTAGCTAACACACGGCTTGGCAGAGCAGTATAACATATGCTCTAGATTATGGGATTTGGAATTCGTACCTGAGTTGGAATCCTGCCTCTACCATTTACTGGCTATGTGATCCCAGGAAAATTACTTCACCTCCCTAAGCTTCAATAGCTTGATCTGGAAAATGAGATTTAAGAGTAACAATTGTTGCTGTGAATGTTTAAGTGAAAAAGCAACCACAAAGTGCCTAGCACAGAAGTGGAAAGCAAATGAATGGAAAGAAAATATCAATGAAAATTGAAAGGGAAAAGATAATGTTTGCAAATGAAGAAAAGATAGGGTTTTAAAAAAATTAAACAGTGAATGAAAAAGGTGAAGACTACGGTTTACACACACACACACATAGACACTTAGGTCTCCACCACCCACAGAGAAGAAGGAGATACGTAGATATATAGATATAAATATAGACAAAAATCACAATTCTCAATATCATCTGAGGTTTTATATGTGATCACGGTTCTAGAAATCAGCTTTCTGAAGTTGTTTTCCAGGGGAAGCACAAAGTTACTATCTCCACTTAGTTATTAATTATCCACCCCAATGGGAACAGGCATCCTCACCTATTGTTAGCTTTCTCTTTACAAGAGCATAAATAAAAATACAACTGATGTCCCATCTCATTATCTGCCTCCCTCAGACACCAGCCCACACATTATTCTATGCTGCAAAAAGAGCTCAGTGTGAATATTTGAGAATGATACATTGAAGATGCATATGGATACAAGGCCAGACCATCACACGCTTCTAACTATGTGCTCTAAGGTGTCAAAGGAAAAAAAAATACTAACTTGGGAGGAAATGTAAAATAGATCAACATCTCCTTGACAGCTATTGATAGATATATTACTAGACCTAAAGATGTTGCTTCTTAAGAAAACATAAATTCAAGTTCCTTCCAGGTTCTCTGTAGCGATGGGGTTTGGATCGTGCTTGGACAAAGGAATCATAATTCAATTATCCAATGATTTATTACAATACACTTTGCCCACACTGGATATTTGGATGTGTAAACATCAGAGTATTACCCTCCCTTCCATCCCAGGCTTCGCATTTCAGATTTCATTAGCCAATAAAGCCAGGTTTATTTATAATAAAGTTAAGCCCTTCAAACCACTGACCATGGAAACCAGATTTTGAAATAATTCAGATTTGTGTTTCTGTTCTTTCTAATTAAGGGTAATATCGGGAAGCACAGACAGTGGGTAGCATTGTTCGAGCACCATGGATTTAAGCAAGAAAATCTGATTATCAGCTCATGTCAGAAGCCAAGCGATAATGCAGCTTAGCATTGGTTTGGGCTTTTTCTTTAGCCAAAAGATAATTACCGTTAGTGAGGCCTTACGTAAGTGTATCTAATATCTAAGGCCCTAAAATTTATGAATAGCAAAAGCACACAATAGGCAAAGAAGAATTACTGTATTTATTATTTCTATGGCTTGTTCCACCATGATAATTTCATTATCTAGTAAAGTTGAACCTCTAAAATCAAAGTATAATTTCTTAAAGGACAAGAAGTTAAATATGCTGGCAAGGTTTTTGGCCTGACTTCCTCCAGTGAAAGTTATTTCTAACAAATAAGAAGTAGACCAACCAGAATTTTCATAGAAAATTTACTAAAGGAGACTCAAAGTTACCTATTGAGGTCACTGCATAAACAGATGTTAAGCTTCTGTGAGATTTTTTTTTTGTAAACTGTTATTTCTCAATCTTATGCTGCAGGAAAAATCTGAAATTTGAAAAGCACTTCTTGGCAAAAGCAGGATGGCGTCAGAGTGCTCATTGCTGAATACAAGTAATGTCGGTAAGTATCATAAAGAATAAATGCTGGAAACCCAGAGTGGGGAAATTATTTAAACGAGGAATTAGAACTTTGTTGTATAAAACCAAATCTAATTATGAGGATGAATAAAATCAAGTTGTAAAATTTGCAAGGTAAGTTAGCTGAGATTCTCCAAACCATAAAGAAGCAACTGCTCTTGAAAGAGAAAAATAGCATTATTTTCCTTAAGTATATGTTTTATTTAAAAGTACATTTTATTTTCTTGCTTATTATAAACTAACAGCAACTAACATGTTATTGAGTACCTGCTACAGACCAGGCACTGTTCTAAACACTTTAGACATTTTTAATTCATCAAATCCTCACAATAACCTTAAGAAATCAGTACTTTATTATCCCCATCCTACAGATGTGGAAAATGAGTGACAGAGTGGTTAAATAACTTGTCCATCTGGCTCCCATCACTCCAAATTGTATATATAGGGTACCTGATATTCATCCTTGTAATCTGAATTGGTTCTATCTCTCAAATTTCTAACCTCTAGTACAAATAATTTTTCCCCTCTGGGTTCTCAGAAAACTTATTTTCTGTGATATGTCTCGAGCTGCTTGTATTACAGAAATACTCATTCTGACACTATCCTGAAGCAAAAGGAAATGTATTAGGACTCGTCAGAGTAGTTACACTGCTGGCTCAGGCACTAACAACTCCCCAACATTGAGCAAATCACTAAACTGAACACTAGTCAAACAGGAACAATGTTCCCTTCCCTTCCTACTTCTCATGGTTCTTAAGACAGTATGGAGAATCCAAAAGATCTTAGAGAAGTATGGAATGTTCTATAGAGCTGAGCACATTGACAGGTTAATGCAATTGTCAAAGGATGCAAGCACAGGGTGAAGGCGTCCCAAGCAAAGCTCTTAGAATCAGTAATTAGCACACTCCCCACCTTTCCGTACTCTTCTCTTGAGCTCTTACTTGTAGCTGAGGTTTATTTGAGGGAGGGAAAAGAAAGGGGAAAACATTGTTGATGATGACAACAACAACAGCAATAATAAATAGGTGTACTCATCAGCACTCAGAAGCAATGTGTGCAGTGAACCAAAGCACAGACGCTGGAGCTAGACTGCCCAGATTGGATCCTGGATCTGGCACTTGGGCAAATTGCTTTATCTTGGGCCGGGTTGGTGGCTCACGCCTGTAACCCCGGAACTTTGGGAGGCCGAGGCAGGCGGATCATGAGGTCAGGAGATCGAGACCATCCTGGCTAACATGGTGAAACCCCGTCTCTACTAAAAATATAAAAAATTAGCCAGGCATGGTGGTGGGTGCTTTTAGTCCCAGCTACTCGGGAGGCTGAGGCAGGAGAATGGCATGAACCTGGGAGGCGGATCTTGCAGTGAGCCAAGATCACGCCACTGCACTCCAACCTGGGCAACAGAGTGAGACTCCGTCTCAAAAAAAAAAAAAATTTGCTTTCTCTTTCTCTGCCTCAGTCTCCTCATCTGTACAGTGAAGATAATAATAGTCTCTACTTGATTGGATAGTTATGACAATTAAATGACAATATTCATAGAGAATTTTAGAGAATTTAGAGTAGCCTGACAGAATCACCACTAAATATATACAATTGAGAACTGTGAGTAGCAGGTGCCACCAATCCATTGGTTATTGTACTAGCAAAGTAAAAGATGGAATCATGGCTTTTTTTTGTTTCTATTTTCTATCCTCATGAAAAATTAGTAATTCTCTTTCTACTTTGGCCAAATGACTAGAATAGAAAATTGTGCTTCACAATTTCTATGGCTGATTTCATCTACTTCCGATTGCTTTTATATTTTAGTAACAAAATGTCCACGTCAGCATTGTAGAACCATGTTAGATTATTAGGACTTTGGAGATTCATGGAGATTATGTTTACAAAGATGCTAAGGCAATAGTAGCAGAAGACTAAAGAGTCAAGTCAGTAGCAGACACAAAGCAGAAAAAAGTAGAGCAGATGAGCAGTGTATTTCCTGCCCCAAAACCCCTGGCCTTAGCCCATATGCTTTTGCTTTGACCCTAATGAGATCTACTAAAGAAGAAGACCAAATATAGTAGAAATAGATGTACATCTCCATGGCACTGAGCTAGATGTTTAAATCAACGCACCAAATGCTTGCTACAATACCATGAAATAAAGAGCACGGTGCCTATTTCACAGGTGCAGAAATTATAGCTGAGAGCAGGTGGCTAAACTTGCTAAAGGACAGTTAATCATTCCCCTGCTTCTTCCTACCTTTCTTTCTCTTCCATCCCAAAAAGCTGTCTCTTCAAAATTCAATCTATTCTAGTTCTAGTCTTTCCCCTCTTTTCTCCTACCTTTCCTATATGTTTATCTTTTTCCTCAGTCACTTCAGTTCACTCCAAAATCACTAACCTTTCTAGAGTTCTTTCACTTCTTCTCTATACCCATCACTGATTAACCCAACAAACCAACCTGGCATGGCTGGCCCAAGCAGCAAAGACACTTTGCTCTTCAAAGACCAGTCAAGATCAGAAGAGGTCAAGATCAGGAATATGCACCTGTACATTGTCCTTGTCACAATATGATACTTACTGCCTGTGCCATGTTTCTTATATGTATAAATTTGCTCTTCAGGATATAGTGTTCTGACTCATTCTTTTTTTTTTTTTCTTTTTTTGAGATGGAGTCTTGCTCTGTTGCCCAGGCTGGAGTGCATTGGTGCAATCTTGGCTCATTGCAATTCTCTTGCCTCAGCCACTCGAGTAGCTGAGATTACAGGTGCCTGCCACCATGCTTGGCTAATTTTTTTGTATTTTTAGTAGAGACAGGGTTTCACCATGTTAGTCAGGCTGGTCTCCAACTCCTGACCTCAGGTGATCCACCTATTTTGGCCTCCCAAAGTGCTGGGATTACAGGCTTGAGCCACTGCGCCTGGCCTCATTCTTTTTAAAAGGGCATAGTATTCTATAATATTAAGAATGCATTGAAACAATCCCCAGCTGTTAAATATATAGGTTGCTTCTGGTTTATTACTATCATAAAGAATGGTGCAATGAATAAACCTTGTACATGTATCTCTGTACATGTGAGAGAGTATAAATGCACTCTTGGCAAAAATTGATTTGTGTTTCTCTGGCTCACCATCATATAATAACAACTAATACACATTTTTGAAAATCAGTGAATAAGTAAGCAAATAACTGGGAGTATGGCAATAAACCATAGCCAACATAAATGACATAGCAGTTCAGCCTGCATTACAGAAGTTCGCCTATACTTAACCACTCTTGAATTCAACTTTCCTTGCCTATAAAATAACAAAGTATTTTGAAAAACTGTTGAAAGTACTAAAATGAGATAATACCAATAAGGTGCCTAGTCCAGAGCAATGTAAGCTATCATGATTGGGCTAAAATCACCCATCCATGTAAATTGTTTAAATAAGCAGAGCCTAGGTGCTGTCATCATATCATGGACAAGGAAAATCACCCGAAGTGTGTGAGAGCCACAGGGCAGAAAGAACTGTCTCAAGCCCAGAGCAGTGGTTACAGGGATGCAGTGGGTAGATTTTCATGACTCCAGCGTTTTGAATGGTATTCATAGCACTATTCAAAGTGTTGTTATTTGTCTTGATCTTCCAATGACAACTTCAAAAATTAATTTTACAAGTACATAATTTCTTCTTCTTAAAAAAACTGTAATAGCAGCTATGTAAGCACTGAGGAATTTATATGTCATCATAAGCAAAAGATATTTATTAAATGACTGCTTACATGCTAAGCGACATTCAAAAAAAAAGTGGGGGGTGCTCCTGACCCTAGGAGAAACAAAAAGGCAACTAAATATGGTGAAAAGAACACTGGAGCCACCTACGTCTGAGTTTAAAGCCCAGCATTCATTCAACACAATTCAAGTGGTTTGTATACCAGGCACTACATTAAGCGGTGGGTGAACTAATCTACCATACTGTCACTTAAAAGATATTTAACCTTATCAAGTGATTTAGCTTATCTTCGTCTAGGGTGAAGTACCAGCTTCATAATCTTTTTATAAAGGTAACACATGTAAAATACACAGCAGTATTAAGTAAATGGTGGTTTCTCCCACTCCTTCTTGACTGAGGGCTAACCATTCAAGACAGGACACAAACATCAAAACATTAACATGCATACATCAAAGAAAGCATGAACCAATCAGAGACTAAAGAGCAGAATAGTTACATCCAATCAAGTCAAGGAATTACACAGTTATCCCAGAGCTAGAACATGCACAGAACATAGCACACAATAGGTATTCAAAGATGTCTATTGACTGGATATAGTGAATCAAGAATTCAAACAATTAGAGCCTCAGGGTTAACAGGAGGCCATGTAACACACTGGGAAGAGTTCAGACATAAAAATTAGGAGACCTAGGTTCGTGTCTGAAGTGTCTGAACCACCAGCCGAATTTTCTTGAGCAAATCATGCAAATCATGGTCGTCTGTAGCCTCAGTCTTCTCATCTGGGAAGCTAGAGGGTTGGGGTACATCTTTACTAAGTACCAATAATTTCAGGTAAAAATGCTCGTCAAGCCTCCACTTTGTATTTTATTTGCTCAGTCTGAAATTGAACTGCATACAGTTTGTCCCAAAACCCAGAGACGGTTTGAAACCCCCAAATTGGTGGACTTGATCAATACATCCACGTTTCATTTTTTTACCCTAAAATATAGTGTATAGACTACTAAGTTAAGAAACACTATTGCTGAAAAAAGAAATATTCCATTTTAAAATCCAAAGACTAAAAATTAACCAGTCACTTCATGTTTTTAGCAAACATACTTACCATTGTGTGGGGTTTTATTGTCCCCTTGGTGAATAGAAATCTTTAAAAATGTATACGCCTGGAACTGAATACCGTGTCAAATCTATTGGCACTGCATGTTTAAACACCTGCATCTCATCACCAGCCCTTCATAATATTGTTAAACAATAATTATACTTATGATGAGTAATGAATCCAGATATGGTCTTCCTTGAGATGTACTTATTCTTGTGTTAAAAGTAACCCATTAGTAGCATATGAAAGCTTCGCAGGTAAAACAGAATTCACAAATACATCCATATAATAATAATGTTTTTAAATGGTAATAAATTGCAATGATATTCTCTTCTTTATTGGAGAATCTCACCTTATTTTTCTGAGAATGATCCATTTTTGTTTACCACAATTCTAAATTTCACTTGCCCAATCAGATTTATATCTTAAAAATAAAAGTTTTACTTTGAAATTTGACCCAAGTTTAATTTTGATTTTTTTCATACTTGTAAGGAGAATGGTAACTTGAGACAAAGGCTAAATTGCCATGGAAGCTACCCTCACACTTTGCTTAAAATCAACCTTTGGTGATGGATATAAAGAGAACCTCAAAGGAAATTATTCACCTACTTCCCAAACCAGAAAGACTATAGCATGCTGATCACTGTGATCAAAAAGGCTCAGCTTCATTAAAAAGAGACACAAATATAAACAACATTGGTCAAAGGAAATAATAGTAACAGCTAGCATGCCTGGCAGCACGGTTCTAGGCATTTCACATCTAACTCACTTGATTCCCACAACAACCGTATTAGGTTGGTGTTATTATTACCACATATGCAGATGAGAAAGCTGAGTTGCAGAAAGATAAGACATTTCTCAGAAAATCCCAGGACATAAATTGGCAAAGCCAGGATTTGAACTCAGGCTGTCTGATCCTAGGGTCTGTCTGCATAATCACTATCCTTAACCAATTATTCTGCTTGTGTTTGTCACACACTCAAGCAGTAGCCACCTCAAAGCTGGTACTAGCAGCCTCAGCATCACATTTGTAGGTGATGTGGAATACAGTTAAGAGCTCGGTGGCAGTTCCAACCTCTACTCCGGAACTGAACTGACCTTATCAGTACCCTTCTTGCTCTGATTCCCAGTTATCTCCAGCTGAATAACATGGACTTATCTCTGCTCTCCCAAAATGCTAACTCCTAAAACTCAACTGATCAATGTCACATCCACCATGGGAAAACGAATGACTCTGGTTAAGTGCTCAAAGTCCTCTACCACTGGCAGTCTTCCTGAAATCATTTTTAATGTAATCTTTTGATCTCAGGCATAGAGTTTATCACAAAAAAGATTATGCTACAGAGAGTTAGCATGATCCAAAATACAGCAACTGCTCTTGCAACATAGGATTGCTCTAAAGACTCAAAGCAGACTGCAATTGCACTCCCTTTCCCCAGTTGCTTTTGGTGCAGCTAGCTTTGAAGTGGTTGAACACTCATATGCATGTCGGACTGTTGACCGAGACTCCAAGTGCTAGACCTGGGAGGGCATCCTCAGGACCAGACAGGCTGCCCATGCACCTGAACCCCAATCTCTTGGGAAAAATCCCTAACCGCTAGCTCTTCCTCCACCTCCAAGAAGTTAGCATGGACAGTCCCGTTAAACCAAAGTCACATCCTGCAGCTCGCAGTTCACAGCCCTCCCACAGCTCCACATCCCATTCAAATCCCCAGTGCCTTCCTACCAGGCTGAACAGGATCTGGAACCGCTTTGACCATTTGTGAACACTTCTAGTGCGAAAGGGGAGCCTAGTAATAATTATTCTGGAACTTCAAGTATAAACCTGAATTGTCCTAAGTAAATATGGATGTACCCACGTACCTGTCACCTACTATCTTCCTTTCACCTGCTCTAGTCCAGCCCCTTTACTGTCCCTTCAATATCCCGGGCTTGCTATTGCCTCAAGATCTTTGCACTTGCTGTTCCCTCTCCCTGGACACACTTCCTCCAAATATCTTCATGACTTAATGCTTCATCTCCTTCACCTCTTTGCTAAATACTATTATTAGCTTCCAGTGACCACCATATTTTAAAAGTTACCACCCTACACACACACCCTCGTGCACACATGCACAGACATGCTCACGCTTACTCCCCTTGGGTTCTTTACAACCATCGAACTGCCATTTATTTTATTTATTCACTTTGTGTATTACCTGTCTTGTCCAGAACCTCTATATGTGATTGTTCAGTGCAAGCCTTGCCAAGGGGAAGAGGAGTGGGTTGGCCTCAAGCCAACATCCCTCTTGTCAACCAGGGATGGCGGTTGCATCATACAGGAGAAAGTGTCCTCTTCTACCCATTGTACATTTAAACAGAGGCTCCATATATCCTAGCAGTGGCTTGGTCTCTCCCTACTGGAATGTAAGCTCTAATACTGGAAACTATCTTTCGTCTTGCTCACTGTCTATCTCTAATACCGAGAACAATACCTAATATGTCAGAGGTACTCGAGAAATGTTTGTCAAATGAACAGATGAATGAAAACAAGACTGCGCTCTGCCATCATACCTTTTCAAAGTCCTGAGACGTCCCTCTCACTTTTCTAACTGATATTCCCTTCCCTTTCCTCTCTCTTTTTTTCTTTTTTAACACATTTAATGTTACTTTCTTAATCCAACTCAACTTGCAGTAAACAATTTATCTTAACACTGCAAGGTAACTTACAAGGTTTAAAATAATCTCTTTTTAGATAATTGCTCAGCCAATTCAGAATTTAAACCCAATTATTTCAAATGTTAAAGTCATTTTCAGAGTGTCCTCCACTCTTAAGTGTGCACCCTACTCTGCCCCTCCAGCGTGGAGCTTTGCAGGAGAAAAATTTTTCCTTGGTGCCAGAGAAGGGGGGGTGATAACTCTGAGTGCCATCTGCTAGGCCATTCCTGGCCTCTGGAGAGTCTCTTCCTGTCTGGCCTTTCTGCTTTGATCTCTCTCCCTGTTTTCTCCATAGCTGATGTAACAGGTCCCAACAGACCTCCAGATGGGTGGGGTCAGTGCCTAAACCCCAGGCTACTCCTGGGCCTGGCTCCTATAGCATTCCTACACCCCACTCTGCATCAAACTGGGAATTCTGGATCCCCTGCCCCATGCCGCTGTTAAGCTGTGGGGAAACTTGGGTGCTTGTCAAGTACACTCTCTTTCTCTCTCCCTCTTCCCCAACCTCTTCTTTCTCTCCTTGAAAATGGGATTCTACTGCATTTGTATTTGCAAAATGTTTATTCTTAAGATGAATGATGGGTACACAAGTTTGTTATAGTTTTCTCTAGACTTTTAGATGCCTGAAATATTTCACACACTCAGAATAAAAGGACATACTACCTTTTCTACTCTACTGCTCTTGCCTTATATTGATGAAGGTCTCCCCAAACTCCAAATGGAAATGAAGAGACACAACATGAATGATTATTGTATTCTCTCTGGCCCAGAGAACCTCCTAGACTTTAATAAGACATATGCATGGTTTTCTAGTCTTGGTCAAAACCTACAGTGTTCTCCCTGCTCTGCCTCCTCCGCCTCCTCCTCCTTCTCAGGCCAGAATAGAATAGGGTCATGCAGGCAGCCAGGGGTAGCCTTGGTTGGGACCAAAGATTCTGGGAAGACTGGTGGCCCAGGCTCCACATAAGCAAGCTTGGGTATGGGCTGTGCTTGCTTTCCAGCCCCTGGGGTTGAGTTTAGCCCATGGTCCAAATTGAGACAGATGACAGTTGTGCTTGGCAACTCAATCTGGAAAACCTGACCCATGCCAGGGGGAATGTTCCATCATCCCCAAATCCCTCTTACCAGAGCAGGAAATAGGGGCTCTTGAGAGAAACTGGTAAGGGAGGAAGATGACACCAGAGGGGCCATAGCCTTGAACTGTATAAAACAATATGGGGAATGGGTTGGGGGTGGGGGATTTAAGCATCCCCCCTACTCAGCAGGACTGAGAAGACTGCTACAGATTCCCATTTCTTTCTGTATTTAGGAGTAGAAAGTGGAATTTGACTATATGCAAAATATCATTAAAGAGTCAGATCCACAATGACTCTGTTCCCCATCGTGACATGTATCTTCTCAGGATCTGCTCTCCTCTGAGGAGGGAGGCCAAAGGAAAGGAGGAATAAATGAATCTTTTCCTTCTAGAAGTCAAATTTCAGGTGAATTGCTGCTTTATATTCTCTTTTCTACATATCTCTTATTGTGGTTCTGGAAGCATTTGATGTCTTTCTTCTGAATTCTGTTACCTTGATTGTCCAAGGACTTGTTAACCCGTTCCATCCTTCCCTTTCAATGAAAGAAAAATGTAAAAATTCCACTGTATGTTCCTCTTCCTTCTTCCCAGTATTTGATATTCATTCAACAAGCTACCCAATCAGTTTTGACGCAGAAAACGTTCTACTCAGGGTAGAAGGTCACAGGGGCAGGGGGCTCCTCAGTGCATCCATTGTCCATGAAGATATAGAGCCCAGAGAATTCACGAGGCTCAGTCTGATGCAGCTGGGCAGCATGCGTTGTGTCAGCGACTCTCCCAGTTTTCTCTGTTTTCATATCGCCTTGTACCTTAGATCTCTCTGGGGCCATTGTGCTCTTTCCTGAAACACAATCTTTGGAAACTCCTTTCATCATGGTCTGTTGGCAGAGAAATCTCTCAGTTTTTGCTTATCTTAGAATATCTTAATTTCACTTCTATTCTTGTAAGATCATTTTGCTAGGTACACAACACTAGATTGTTGTAACTCCCATTACATTAATGATGTTATTCCACTGTTGCCAGCCTCCATCATTGCTGCTGAAGGTTCTACTGTCTGATTTTTATTCCTCTGTATGTGATATAAGAGATCTGTCTTTCCTCCCTGCTCCCTTAGTCATGGTTGCATCCCCAGTATCTGGCACGAAATAATAATAGCTACCACTTATACAGCATTTAACTATGTTCCAGGCAAAGTTCTAAGCGTTTTACCTCATTTAATCTTTATTTTTAATTATGGTATAATATACAGAGCATACAATTTACTGCATTAACTATTTCTGAGTGTATAATTAACGGATATTACGTACATACACAATGCTCAATAATCATCACCACTATTTCCAGAACTTTTCATCATCCCAAACAGAAACTCTGCATCCATTAATCTATAACTCCCAATTATTACTTTCTCCCCAGCCCCTGGTAACCTCTATTCTACTTCCTCTCTTTATGAATTTGGCAATTCAAATACTACATGTGGTAATCAGGGTTCTCCAGAGAAACAGAACCGATAGGATATATATAGATAAGTAGAAACAGATTTAGTATAAGAAGTCCCTTGATCTGCTGTCTACAAGCTGGAGGCCCAGGAAAGCCAGTGGTATAGTTTCAGTTCAAACCCAGAGGTTTGAAAATCAAGCAAACCACTGGTGTAACTCCCAGTCCAAGTCCAAAGGCTTGAGAAACAGCAAGCCAATGTCCAAGCGCAAGAGATGACATCTTAGTTCAAGCAGAGTGAAAATTCATCTTTTTTCCACTCATTTGTTCTATGTAGGCTCATACAATAAACAATTTAGATGATGCCCACCCCCATTGATAAGGACAGATGATTTTTATTCAGTCTGCTGAGCAAAGAACAGCTAATGCTAATCTCTTTTAAAAATGTTCTCACTGACACATCCAGAAACAATGTTTAACCAGCTATCTGGATATCCCTTAGCCCAATCAAGTTGGCACAAAATGAACCATCACACTGCATATTAGTGGAAGTACATAATATTTGCTCTTTCGTGTCTGGTTTATTTTACTTGGCATAATATTTCCATGGTTCATCCACATTGTATCAAACTCCATTCCTTTTTATGATTGAATCATATTCGGTTTTATATATATATATATATTTATCCATTCACCTATTGATGGCACTGAGTTTTTGTTTTTAGCCATTGTGAATAATGCTGCTATGAACACTGGTATACAAGTATCCATTTCTCTGTTTTCGATTATTTAGGAATAAAATTGCTGAGTCATATGGTAATTCTATGTTTCACTTTCTGAGGAAACACCAAACTGTATTAACAACCGCTATACTATTTTACATTCCTACCAGCAATGCATGAGTTTCAATTTCTGCACATTTTTGCCAAAACATATCATTTTTCATTTTTTAAATAACAACCATTATGATGGGTATAAAGTGATACCTCATCGTGGTTTTGATTTACATTGCTCTAATGGTGTTGAACATCTTTTCATGTGCCTATTGGCCATTTGTACATCTTTCTTGGAGAAATTTCTTTTCAAGTCCTTTGCCCATTTTTTAATTGGGTTGGTCTTTTGTTGGTGATGATGACTTTTAATTCTTCATATATTCTGGATATTAACCATATATATCATATATACTAATCACATATAATTATATATATAATAGTATATATGATGTGTGTGTGTGTATATATATATGATTGATTTACAACTATTTTCTCCCATTTCTGTAAGTTGTCTGATCACTCTCCTGATAGTGGCTTTGATGCACAAAAAAAATTTAATTTTGATGAGGTCCAATTTATCTATATTTTCTTTTTTTACCTATGCTTTTGTGTCATATTTAAGAAACCATTACCAAATCTAAGGTCATGAATATTTTGCCTTATGTTTTCTTCTGAATTTTATAGCTTTAGCTCTTACATGTCTGTCTTTGATCTATATTGAGTTAATTTTTAAATACAGTGTAAGGTGTGTGCTCAATTTCATCCTTTTGCATGTGAATATCTAGTTTTCCCACAACAATTTGTTGAAAAAACTCCTTGCTCCATTGAATGATCTTGGCATTTTTGTTGAAAATCAGTTGACCATACATGTAAGAGTTTATTTCTTGGTACGCTTTTCAATTCCATCAGTTTATATGCCTATCTGTATGCCAGTACCACACTGTTTTTATTAGTGTCATTTTGTAGTAAGTTCTAAAATCAGGAGTATGAACATTTGAATTGGTTCTTTTTCAAGATTGTTTTGGTTATTTGGGAATCCTTTGAGTTTCTACATGGATTTTAGGATATGTTTTTCTATTTCTAAATAATTTAAATAAAAATCTCCATTGGAATTTTGATAGGGATTGCATGGAATTTGTAGATCACTTTGGGTAGTACTATCATATTAATGTTAAGTCTTGCAATCCATGAACATAGAATGTCTTTCCATTTATTTAGGTCATCTTTAATGTCTTTCAGCTGTTTTACAGTTTTCAACATACACATCTTTTGCCTTCTTGGTTAAATTTATTCCTAAGTATTTTATTCTTTTTGATGCAATTTTAAATGAAATTGTTTTTCTTAATTTCCTTTTCAGGTTGTTTATTGCTAGTGCATAGACACACAACTGATTTCTGTATGTTGATTTTTCTGCAGCTTTGCTGAATTTGTTTATTAGCTCTAACTCACTTAATCTTGAAACAAATCTGTAAAGTAGCACTGTCAATGTTCAGGCACTTGCATTAGCAGCCAGACTCATGAACTAGTAATACATGAGGAAAGGACGGGAAATTCTCTTTCTCATTCTCTTTCTGGCAGCTGTGCAGTAGCAGAAAATGCAAATTTGAGTTCCTGCCACAGAAGTGGCAGCAGTACAAGCTGTGGTATCTCATTCTCAGTGGTGGAGGTGGTGGCAGGTGGTATCAGGTATCAGATCAGTTGTGCAGTGTCCCTTGGGACACTGTTCCTGGAAGTCCATCCTTGGCCTTTCTTGTCTACTCCTCCTGATAATCTTGTAAAGCATCCAAAGTTATTTTTATTTAATTCCTTTTTTGGTCAGTCAACCAGAATCAGTTTCTGTGTTAGTCCATTCTTGCATTGCTATAAAGAAATACCTGAGACCGGGTAATTTATAAGAAATGAGGTTTAATTGGCTCACAGGGATCTGCAGGCTGTACAGGATGCATGGCAACAGCATCTGCTCAGCTACTGATGAGAGCTTCTAAGCTTACAGTCATGATGGAAGGGGAAGCGGGAACAAGCATCTCACATGATAGAAGTGGGAGCAAGAGGGAGAAAAAGTAGGGGTGGGGAGGTGCCACACTTTACAACAATCAGATCTCGCAAGAACGCACTATCACAAGAACAGTACCAAGCGATGAGGGATCCACGTCCATAACCCAAACACCTCCCACCAGTCCCCAACTCCAACATTGGGGATTATATCTCAACATGAGATTTGGAGGAGACATCCAAACTATACTAGCTTCTGCTGCTTGCAAATAAGGCTCTTATATGACAAATATCAACAACAACACATGCTTCCGTTCCCTTATCCTGCTTTTTCTCTATAGTATCACTATCACTATCTGGACCATCAATTTATTGTCTGATTCCCACACTGGAATGAAAACTCCATGAGGTCAGAGTTTTTTTGTTCACTGCTATATGCCTTAATTAATGCCTAGTATATATTGCACTTAATACAATTTATTGAATGAATGAAACACCTAATACTTATTAATTTAACCCAGACAACAATACACATCTCTTAGAAATCAAAACCTATGGCATTTATTCATAACTCTGTGCCTGTGATTTCACCTCTGAAAAGCAACTCTTTCTAGCTTTATGCTCTATGACTCTAGGCAGAGCAAATTCTTAGAAATCAGAGGAATCCCTAGGGGAACCTTCCCCAGGTATGCTGATATCATCCTCATATCATTTCCATAGGATATTGACTTGCGAGCTATCATCTGGGCCAATTATTAGTAGTTTTGCCAAAATGAATGGACACTTTTTCTTTCAGATGTTCATACTGGATATTAGAAAAAGTAAACATTTCTAAAATCTTCCCATGCTCATACTTAAATGCCCAAAGAAGCACTTAGTTGAATATAAAAGGTATCTCCAGACCATCTCAGAAACAGCAGGAGTTAATCCCTGCTAAAGTCAGAGAGGAGATTGAGAATGAGTTCTGCGCCATGTCATGCTGAGATGAAGACACTCTATTTCTCAAATTACTCTCTTATAAAACATCTCAAAATGCCTTTCTGTACAAATCTAACTCACACCTGCTGAGAAAATGATGCTCTTTTCTAGGCCACAGGTTGTCTGTCCTGCCCTACGTTTACCTGACTTCTTAGAGTCCTCAGGTCACCCATGGCCTGGATGCATTCTGGCTTGTTCTTTAAAATGTCCACTTTAACAGTTGCTGTGGAAAAGATGCAGTCCAAGGTTACAAACCTGTTTATGACCAACTCTCCTGTGTCTCCGCTATGCTAATAATTTAAAATACGTGTTTAACTATAATCGCTGATTTGGTTATGTGTTTGAAACACGAAACCATTGAACATAATTTTCAGAAAGCAATTTTTTTCCACAAATACTAACGATTGTTTCCCAACAATTCTATCAATAAGGGCTCCTGAAGAGCAGCAGGAAAGCAAGCACTGGAGGGGTGGCTTTAGTGGGCAGCTTATTGGGAAGTACAGATGGGGTCGCTTTCCATTCTTATTCCCCAAGGAGAGGCCTGATAACTGAGACCAACTCCAAACTGTGGCAGAGAAATTCCATCCAGTGTGGGGCTACATGCTGAGAACAAGGGGAAGACAGGTGGGAGATATGGTACAAAGGTGGGAGCTTCCAGAGAAAAGCAAGGTCATTCCAGGAACAGCAACTAAACACAGCAATAGAAAAGCAGGAACAGAGGCTCACCAGAGTGCCTCCAGTACCTGCAAAGTACTCACTTATTCCTTCATTTATTCAATAAAAATCAAGTGAACATCTACATTGTACCAGCATCCTGCTGGGAGCTAAGGATACAACAAAAAGTAAGACAGACTAGGCCATGCCCTCATGGATCTTACGTTCTATCATTCAGCAGGTACTGAATAAATATTTGTTGAACTGGTCAATTGAATAAAATGACTGAGCCAACACCCTTCCTTTTTTCTAATATGATATCTTCCTCTGCCACATTACAAAGTAAAAAGAATGATGATCTCAAATACATTTTCAAGAAGTTGGCCACAATATTTGAAATTTAGTAAGAACACTAATAGAAATGTGGCTTTAGACCCATTATTCTTTTTTTTTTTTTTTTTGAGACGGAGTCTCACTCTGTCGCCCAGGCTGGAGTGCAGTGGGGTGATCTCCGCTCACCGCAAGCTCCGCCTCCCGGGTTCACGCCATTCTCCCGCCTCAGCCTCCTGAGTAGCTGGGACTACAGGCGCCCACCACCACGCCCGGCTAATTTTTCGTATTTTTAGTAGAGACTTGGTTTCACTGTGTTAGGCAGGATGGTCTCGATCTCCTGACCGAGCGATCTGCCCGCCTCGGCCTCCCAAAGAGCTGGGATTACAGGCGTGAGCCACCACGCCAGGTCCAGACCCATTATTCTTACAATGTGTATAATGTTTCTTGACATATTCATTAAAAATAGTACGAAAGCATCTGATTAGACATGAAAGGATAATCATTTATAATTGATCTCTTTTATGTTTAAATTCAATGGGACATCCCACTGAATAACTGAGACATAAAGCACTATTTTATGCCATATACATTATAACATAATAGTTATAAAATAGTACTCCAGTTATAACATAGTCATAAAAATATATATACACTATATATATGCTATTCATAATAATATATACTACAAATGCATTATGTATAATATATTATGTATATATACATTATATATTATATAGTGTTTATATACTGTTATGGTATACCATAGTTATAACATAACATATATAAAACATAGTTATAACATAATATATATACTATATATAATATACATATATCAACTATTATGTTATAACTTTTGTTATATTATATAAATAGTTATAACATAATAGTTGATATGGTTTGGCTGTGTGTCCCCACCCAAATCTCATCTTAAATTGTAATCAGGGGAGGGACCTGGTGGGAGGTGACTGGATCATGGGGGTATTTTCCCCCATGCTGTTCTCATGGTAGTGAGGGAGTTCTCACAAGATCTGATGGTTTAAAAGTGGCAGTTTCCCTTGCACTCTCTCTCCTGACACCTTGTGAAGAGGTACTTGCTTCTCCTTCACCTTTCACCATGATTGTAAGTTTCCTGAGGCCTCCCCAGCCATGCAGAACTGTCAGTCAATTACGCCTCTTTTGTTTATAAATTACCCAGTCTCACAAGTCTCAGGTAGTATCTTTATAGCAGTGTAGAAATTGACAAATACTAACATAAATACATTATAATCTAGTTTCTAACATTTTAATGAATGGAGTAGTACATATCTGTCTATAAGTATATGAGATATGGGCACTAAATTTTTTATCATTGCTAGACATTTGCAATTAAAATTTGGACACCATTATTTTAGATCCTTGGTCATTAGTTGGCAAGTTTCTTGGGAGAGTGCATCCAGACCAGGTCTACTGGTTTTGAGGCAAGTGGGGCTCAGGACCTGAAAGAAGGTGCATTGTTAGTAGACAAAACAGCAATTGCAAAGGACCTAGGAGGGAAGTGTGCTTGGAGGACTGAGCAGAGGAAGGGGCTGGAGAGTAAAATACAAGTGGGGAGACCAGTAGGGTAGAGGGGTCCAGATTATGTAGAGTCTTGGAATCATGATAAAGACTTTGGATTTTACTGTGGTAAAATTGAAGCCCATTGGAAGTCTGTGAGCAGAAGAATATGATCTGTTTATATTTTTGGAAACATTACTAAGCTCTTCAATCCAGCTTTGACCTGGAATATATTTTTACCAACATCTGTCTGATCTGTGTGTCTACATCTCAAATGGTTCTAAACTGGGAGGGAAAAGCAAAGGTGTATAATTTTATCTTCTAAATGACAGTATCTGTCTTACCAAACATGTAAGTAATTCTATAACTTGATACTTTCATTCGCCATCAGATTATTGAGATTTATCCTTGATGGTCTGTATAGCTTCAATTTATTCCTTTAAACTAGTTGCAACAGACCATTGCATAAATTAGGCCACAAGGTATTTATCTACTCTCCTGTTAATGAACATGTGCTTTTTAATGTTCCATTACAAATCATTGCATCAGAAAACAGTCCTCTATGTCAGGGGTTCCCAAGCCCCAGGCCATTAGGCACCAGGTGGCACAACAGGAGGTGAGTGCCAGGCTGGGGGCAAGCATTATCACCTGATCTCTGCCTCCTGTAAGATCAGTGGTGGCACTAGATTATCACAGGAGCTCGAACCCTATTGTGAACTGTGCATGCGAGGGATCAAGGTTGCACACTCCTTATGACAATCTAATTAATGTCTGATGATCTTCTAAGGTGGAAGAGTTTCATCCAGAAACCATCTCCTCCAAACCCCTCCTTGTCTGTGGAAAAATTATCTTCCACAAAACCAATTCCTGATGGCAAAAATGTTGGGGACAACTGCTTTATGTGTCTTCATTGAGTACACAGTCTCTAATTTCATACCTTGGTGGAAATTGTTGAGTCAAATTTGTTTGCATTCCAGGATGATGAATACTAGAGGCTGGGAAGCATATTAGGGTGAGAGTAAGGATAAAGAAAGGTTGCCTAATGGGTATAAACATGCATTTAGATAGAAGGAATACATTTTAATGTTCATTACCAGAGTATGGTGACTATCAATAACAACAATGTATTATATATTTCGAAGTAGCCAGAAGAAAGGACCTGAAATGATCCCAACACATAGAAATGATAAATACTCAAGGTGATGGACACCCCAAACACACTGACTTGATCATTATACAGTCAGTGCATTAAACAGAATATCACATATGTACCTCATAAATAGGTACAAATATTTGTATCAAAAAATAAAATAAAAGGTGTTTGCATTCTACAACTGTGTTAGATCATGAAAATGCTCTCTAAAGTGATTCTGCAGCAGCTTATGTGAGACTCTCCATTTCTCTATACCTTTGTCAACACTTTTTATCATCTGACATTTTCATTTGTGTCAACTTATGAGTATGAAATCATCTTTCATTACAGTTTTTATCTGCATTTCCCTTGACACTAGTAAACTAAAACATTTATTTATACTTTTATTGGATATTCAGATTTCCTGTTGGTGAATTGTCAATTCATATCCTTTGCTCATTTTTCTACCCAGTTAACTATCTTTCTCTTACAAATTTGTGGGAATTCTATGTAAATTATAGATATAAATTCCTTGTTAGTATTTGCTCTCCAAATATTTGTTGTTAACTTGTAACTTGTCCTTTATTTTTGTTTTAAAGCTTGGTAAAGGAAACTTTTTAATTTTTAATGTAGTAAAATTTATCAATATATCTTGAAAGTTTATGATTTTTATACCCTAGGAAACCCGTTTATACCCCTCAGATCATAAAATATATTTTGTATTTTATCTAAAAGTTACTGTTTTCTTAAACCTGCCCAAAGTTTACTTTTCTATTTAGTGTGAATAGATATATAATATTACCTTTTTTTTCTGTAGGCATAACCAGTTGTCCCCACCCCATTTATTGAATAGTCCTTCCTTTCCCCATCAGTATCTAATATCCTTTCTTTTGTATATCAGATTTATATATTCTGTTCAGTTCCACGGGCCTACCCTTGAGCAAATAGCATGCTGTTTAAGGACTAAGTCTTTATAAAAAGTCTTGATATCTGGTAAAACAAGTTCCCATATTTTGTTCTTCTTCATAACTGAAAGATCATAACTTGATCGTTCATTTAACTTATAGGATCAGTCTTCTTTTAACTTCACCAAAAATACTATGATGGACTTCTCATTCATATGCATACTATCTCTTCATTTATTTGGGCACCCTCTTTTGTATCCTTAAATAATGTTTTATACATTTTTCCATATATGTCCTATGATTTTTTAAATTTATTCCAAAGTAATTTATAGTTTTAGTTTTAATAATTTATATATTTTAATAATTTGGAGATAATTTTAGAATTTCCAGGTAGATAATCAATATTATCTTTTCCCCCCAGTTCTTATATATTTTTCCCTATATTTTATTGCTTTGAACCCCGAGGACATTTTTGAGTAGACGTAATAATAGTAGTCATTGGTGTTTTTCTTTATTTTAATGAAAATGATTCTAAAGGCTCACTATTAAGTCTATTTTTGTTGTTGTTGTTGTTTATTTGTTTGTTTGTTTGAAACAGAGTCTCACTCTGTCGCCCAGGCTGGAGTGAAATGGTGCAGTCTTGGCTCACTGCAACCTCCACCTCCCGGGTTCAAATAGAATTACTATATGATCCAGCAAACTCAAAAAAAAAAAAAAAGAAGAAGAAGAAAGGCCTTCCATGACCACCCTACCCTAACAAAAGCAGCACCCTCCTCCTACCCCAAGAGACCCTCAGCCTCATTACCACCAATCTACAGCTTTCATAACAAAGCAGTTTCCTGGAACTACCTGAATTATTTATCTGAATTATTTATCTGATAATTTCCCATTATTTATGTTCTTCACTATTGATAGTCTCTTAAAAAGCAAAGACTTTTTTCTTTACTGTTGCTTTTAGTATCTGACTATTGTTAGGTGGTCAGTAAATACAATATGTAAGGTATAATACTGGAATACATACACACAGACACAGAGACAGAGACACGCAAAGACACACACACATACACAATACAGGTTATCTGACATATATGATAGTATGTTATATATGATATATGTTTCATATACATGTGCTATATAACATCTGACGTACAGTGCATAATATACCATGTATAATATATAATAAAGTATATGGCAGTCAATATACAGTATATACTATATATAAAACAAATAATACGAAAGTATTTTAAAGATATACATCTTAAAAGTTTTTAGTCCTATTTCTATAATTCCTCCAAAGCCACAAAAACACAGAGAGGAAGAGAGAGAGAAGAAAGAGAGAGGAAGGGATGATGCAATTTAAAAGAGGATCTAGCTGATGCCAAGTCCTGATCTACATAGGACTGCACTCACTTCCCCATCCTAACTTAAGCTGTCAGAGGAAAGGAGTGGCACCCAGGGGGCACTGGTCTGTGAGCTCCAGAGGCATCATCTTGCTGCAGTATGAGCTAAATGCCAACTCTCATTGTCACCTGCACTACTCCTTGATGTGAGATTGGATCTGTGGTCCCCTTTCATGAAGTGTTGCCTTCTAAGAGTCTTGACATACTAGTTGTGGAATAGTAGTAACAAAGGGACTTTGCTGGGGCCTGTTTCCTTTCTAACACAGTCCATTCTGGGAGTCATGGAATCCCTCAGTTGCACAGATCCTTAACGTCCAAATGGACATATAACTAATGAAACACCATATTGCAGGTGCCTTACTTAGCTATATTCCTCTGCTTTAGTGCAAAGTAAGAACAGTAAGAAAACCAGGTCATGTTTTTCAACTAGGTCATGTTTTTCATCTTTTCTACTATTGGCCTTTTCCATTAATCTTAAAATGTGATTTTCTACATCTTTGATTTCTACTCTTGAATCGTATTTCCAGTCACCATATGCTACTTTTCTGCAAGCTGTAATTTAAGCCAATCCTGCTCACGAATTTTGAAAAAGGGAGTCCATAGAAGAGAAAACTATCTCCTCCTCATGTGCTTGGGATGTTGTGATTTCCTCAGTATTGCTGGGCTGTGTTCCTTTTTAGAGGAAGTTGCAATTCCCTTCATGGTAAATAGGAAGGAAATGAAGGTGATTAAAGCCCTTAGGATGTAAATTTCAGTGTTGGCTGAAAGGTTCTTTTTATCCCAATCCTGCTTTTGTAAACAAAGCTCCGGTGGGACTGAATCTGGAAAGCTACCACAGCTCCATGACAACTGGACTTGCCAGCCATGGTGACCATCTCCATGTTCACATCGTAGTCATTCATAGTCATGCATATGCACATCGTAGGGACAAACATTCACTTTGGCTCTCACCAAGAAAAAGAGCGTTAGCAACCAATTAGTAGAAGGTGGTACAGGAGAGGAACACTACTAACAGGTCAACTTTTTGCCTAGTGAACTCAGCTGTAAATTTTTATGGATGATGGTAAGATAAAATTATTGCCCTAGTTTCTGTATGTTGGCCACATACAGGCACTGCAAAGACCCCTAATGCACTGTGATTTCTATTCTTGGACATCAGTGGATGATACACGTTTTTCTAGGTGTACATATCTGCGTGCAAAGAATAAGGAGTTGGCATGACTCTCAAACAGAGATCCAAAGTTTTCTAGGAAATGTCTTTTAACATTCTTCTTATTTTAAAATGTAAAAAATCCTTTACTAGCTATAAAGTCAAAAATACAAAGAAACAAATCTGCTTACATGTAAAGCAACTGAACCCTAAAGGACGGCACTATGGAGCAGCCCTGCACATAACATTCCGCTGACTCACCTTTGCACTGGGTGTGCTTCTATCCCACAGGGTGGCACTGCTCACAATGGGAATATAGCAAGGGGATTTCTGAAACATTAGAAACAAGGCATTTAGTATCACTTCAATAATTCTTACAAAGAAACATTTCCATTCCTGAGATGGTTTTTAGGCAGATCAGAAGCTAATTCTTTCAAACAATGGCTGTTCATTCACTGAGTACCCGATATTGCCCACAACACTGTCCCAGGTGCGTTGGGAACAATGGTGAGCCCAAAACACACCTCCCATCCTCAAGAGTCCAGAGGAAGCCACAGGTATTAACGAAATAATCACACAAATAAATGTAAAATTTTAACTCTGATACATGTGATGAAAGAGAGAGATGAAGTATTTTGAAAATATGGTGATATATTGGGATGAAATAGAATTAAACATTTACACCCTTTGCCATGTGACTTTGATGTACCTCCCATAGCCTGAAGCCCATCCCAGCTGAGCCCAATGCAGCCATAGTCAACCCACAGGCCCATGAACATAAATAAGAAATCAATGTTTCTTGTTGAAAGTCACTTATTTGGAGTTGCTTGGCACGTAGAATTATCATTGTAGAAACCTGTGAATGAAACAAATCTACAATACGTGCAATAGGTATACTCAGGGAGGTCAGAAGAGGTAACCCCTGAGGATCTCACAATGGAAGAGAACAATTTTACTTAAATATCAAACCAGACATTTGATTTGAAGCTTACTTGCAATTTTACTTAAAATATCAAACCTTAATAAGATAATATCAGGATTTGTTTTCAGACTTCTGGTTTTCAATTTGGTGCTTTTTATTTATTTAGTCATGCTCCTCAAGGTCTTTGACTTTCTGTTGCCCAATATTTGCTAAAACCAGTCTGCTAAGATTGGTGTCATGAAGGACAGACCCCCAAAAAATCTGTCACCAGGATACAAGTATATGTCAGAAAAACAATGGTGAGTTGCCCACTACTTTTCCCAGAGGTGATTAGAGTCTAAAGCAGGAGGTAGTAACCAAAGAATCACACAAATAAAGTTAAGATTCCAATAACACTAAAGGTTATGAAGGTACAGACATAGGTGGAGTCAAGGAATACAGATTATGTAGACTTGGGTGATGGACTAGAGACAGAAATTGGACAAAAATGGAAGAAGAAGCAAGAGCTTCTTTGAGATCAAAGTACCATGACTGAAGGATGTTGACACGAGAAGTAGAAGGGGACCCAAGGTGGCAGAAATAGGTAAAATTACTAGAATCTGGAGTAAATAATTGGGGAGGGTCATAGATTTCACAGCACTGAAGCTGAGTAGTGCTACAACTGTGATGCATTTGTACTGCCTGTCAAAGACAGGTGGGGCACATGGGACCCCCATTATGTCCTCTCATGAGGTCTAGAAAATGTGTCTTCTACCTAGTATCCCTGACATCAACTCTGCGCTGGGCACATGGTAAGCATCCAATCAATGCACTTAAAGAATGCAGGGGCCAGGCACGGTGGCTCACACGTGTAATCCCAGCACTTTGGGAGGCCGAGGCGGGCGGATCACGAGGTCAGGAGATCGAGACCACCCTGGCTAACACGGTGAAACCCCGTCTCTACTAAAAATACAAAAAAATTAGCCGGGAGTGGTGGCGGGCGCCTGTAGTCCCAGCTGCTCCGGAGGCTGAGGCAGGGGAATGGCGTGAACCTGGGAGGCAGAGCTTGCAGTGAGCTGAGATTGCCCCACTACACTCCAGCCTGGGCAACAGAGCGAGACTCCGTCTCAAAAAAAAAAAAAAAAGAAAAAGGATGCAGGGGCACTATCCTGTCATCCCAAAAGGAATGTGGTGTCACAAGGTGTGGAGCCAGAAGGAATTCTAAATCGCCAACATTTGCATTTGATAGATGAGGAAACTGCTCGAGATCACACAACCATGTAGTGACAAGCCAGGGCTCAAATTTCAGAATCTGGACTTTGTGTTCTGCCCATCGTCCTCTGTTGGATTATCAGCATACATGCATAGCCTTTGAACCCCAGCTGCTGGTTTGATTGGAAAAGCCATGTCTGCAGGGAGGGGAAGGAATTTCATTTACAAAGCAAGAATCACCGGGGGAAAATTAGGCCCATCCCGATAATTTGCGTCTCAGTTCTCCTTCTCCATGGACTTCCTGCCACTCACTCGAACCATGTACATTCACACATCCGGTGTCTTCCAAGTAGTCAACCTTTGCCCAGGGCAGTCAGCACGAAGCACTGAATGCTGTCCCAAACCACCCTGCTCTGATACATTTTTTATTTCAGTGGAGATTTCTTAGTGCCACTCCTCAGAGCTATGCAAGTTGTGGATGGCACAACAGGGTGGCATCATTCACAGAGACTGTGATGCAAAAACAATACCTCTTAGGGTAGTTCAGTGTACCACCTGACCATCTATACAAAGCAGTCCTGAGATTTCTGTTCTCCAAACAACAAGACTTTATGGTAGCCAATAGCCCAAGGAAATCATGTGCATTCTGATTATCTTGGTTTTTAAATTTTTTATAAAGCATTATTGAGACATAATTTATGTACAAATAGCTGCATATATTGGAGGTATCTGCAGGAAGAAGGAAGAAAGAACAATTAAGGAATGGGAGTACCTTAGAAACCTTTACCTTGAACTTTTAAGCAAGACGAGGAGTCCAGAAAGAAACAGACTAGGAGTACAGGTAGAATTGCCTGGTAAACAAAAATGCTATTGTAATCAACAAGGCAAAAATAAATAAATAAAAGGTTGAAAGAATAAAGTAGCTGGGATATTCATTGCCAGTCATTAACCTGATTTTCTAATGAATATGGCATTAGGCATTCATTAACAATCATTTGTGTTTATGTTGAACAGTGGATGTATAATGAAGGTTGCTAAATGAAAGCAAAATTAAACCAGGGAATTTTGGACACTTATAAAGCAATTAACTTGTTTGGCAGTAATTACACATTGAAAGCTAAATCAAGTGCATTTAGAAAGCCACAAGAGTCGCCACATAAACCAGAGGTGCTTTGCTCTAAAATAATAGAAAAGCCTCTCTTTCTTTCCAAATGAAAGAGAAAGGCAAAAGTATGGTATAAATGACAAACAAGGCTCAGGTCTAATGAAAAGAAATACGGTTACAGCCCATATGTTAGAGAAGAGGCAAGTTATGAAAAAATAGGACAGCTCAGCTAATTAAAGGAGGGAAAAAAAGCCTTTTGTAACAACAATGATGTGAAAACAGGTGGTATGTGCTAGAGAGTTCAGGTTTTTGTTCTGTTCACGCTCACAGGCATGCACACACACGCAAGTGCACACGCACGCATTTATACACTTGAACCACCTAATAGGTGCATGAAGAGTAAAAACTGAATCCGCCATCAGGTCCTTGGAAGGCCACAATATCTCAGTAGCAGGTCCTTGTCACTGACGATTTTGTAACATGATTCTCCAGATGAGTGTTTGACCACAGCCTTTTATTCAACTGAGCACATGGCATTAGAGGTCAGTCATTAAACACTCTCTGGGACTCTGTTATTTAAAAAGGAGGAGGGAATAAGGTACTAGGGAAGATACAAAGGCGAGATCCAGGGAGAAACCATGACTGAACTGGTGATAAAACAAAAGCAGTAAACATAAAATTTCATGCATCCACAAGACTCATCAACAGAAATGTTAGTATAAAAATGCATTTAAAATCCAATGAAGTTTTCAGATAAAGAATGAATTTTCTCAGAATTTTAACCCTATAATATACTAGCCAAGAAATGCTACAGACATGCTGTTTTTGTTTATCTATGTGTGTGGAGGGGCATGTTCCAATGGGATGATAAGGCTGGAGAAGGGGGTCTTCAGATGAGCCCAAAGGTCTGAGCAAAGGGATAAAGTTTTTCAAACTGGAGTCTTGATCATGCTCCTCAAAAAGATCTGAAGATTCATGACCTCTTTCCATCTGACAAATACCTTCACAAATCGGGAGCTGTAGGCACTCGAGGGTTAGTAACCAAAAGAAAAGTTCCCAGGGGGATCTACAAAGGACAGCTGGCTTTGTGGAAACATTTGCAAAAAGCTTGGGTGTCAACTATGCTGAAAGCAAATACTTGCTTTGCCTCTGAGACTGGAACGGAAACCAGGAGATAGCTTTTGAAATCCTTGCTTCGGTCATTAAACTACTACCAAATAAAAAACATGTTTGCCTTGATGTGGGGTAGTGTATTTCTTTCTAAAGAAATGGTCTCTCTTTAAGATGATAATCATTTTCTATCCAAGCAGAGGATCAAGACATTAAGATGAAATACTTATTTCTCACTTACTTGAACCCTTTTTAAATATTTAGGTTGTCTACTTAGTTCTAATCTAATGTGGATTGTTTCATTTGTGGTTAACTTGGTTAGAAAATTACTGCCCGATTTTGGCCAAGATCTCATCAATATACCAGTGTACTATTTCATTCTCCTTGCAACAGACCCAATGCCTTTCCCTGAGACTTCATAGGCAAAGGCATTTAAATATCAATAAATTCAGGGAATACACTATTCTTGAAGGCACGTACTACTAATCCAGGGCTTCTTACATTTTACTGTACATCAAAATCACCTGAGGAGTAGCTAAAATGCAGATTCTAATTCAGGAGGTCTAGAGGAGGGCCTGAGATTCTGGTTTTATAACAAGCTCCCAGGTGATGTTGGTTCTGGAACAGCAAGGTACTGATCTACTGATCTTTGTAGATAGCTGCTTTCAAGAGGTTGTATGGTCAAGAAAAGACATAGCTGAAGCCCTGGAAATAGATCAGTTCTTCTCCAAGAAGAGACCTGGATAGTGTAATAGATCAGAAATTAAGCAATAGAGGAATATCCATTACAGATGAAACATACAAGGAAGGGGTCTGGTCACCACTGTTTCTAATGATCTATGTTTCCCAACTGCCATGGCTTTGCTGATGCTTTTCTCTCCACTTGTCCAGATGTTGAGATCAAGACAATTCAGCTTTTCAAATAGTTATTGGTTTGCCATTTACTATGTTCAGTACCAAGGATACAAAAATAAATGAAGCATAATCTCCACAATGCTCCCCTGGTGCAATTACAGCACAACAGGATAAAGACTATGAAAATGGATGCATAAGGTACCAGGGGAGCTCCTCTCCCAGACCTAAGGAGAAGATTTAGACAAATGTGAAGAATCAGTAAACACTTCTTGGAAGAGATGTCAGCTGAGCCAGATGTTGAAGAAAGAGCAAAAAGAAAAAAAAAATCCAGTTGAAAAGAACAAGTAAAAGTAATGTTAACAGAGGGTCAGCACGGGGAAAGTGTAGACTGAGAGAACATTCTGACTCTGCTATGAGCTGCTGCCAGGCCAAATAGTAGTTGTGCCCCGTAATAACTCCCTTTATCCTCCACCAAAGAATTATTGACAGCCAACAATTTTTATCCTTATTTTGTAGATGAAAAATCTGAAGCCCAGAGAACTCAATGACAGCCAAGGCAATATCACTGAGTAAGTGGTGGAGTTGCGATTCCAAGGTGAGCCTTCCTAGTCATAAAGCCTGCAGCCTCTTCACAGTGTTCAGGTGTCTCCCATCAGGATGATTGCAGAGGGGGATAGGATGAGACAGCCAAGTGATTAAAAAAAGAGACTGGCATTGCATTTTTACATAATGATTTTAATCTTTATTTTTCTTCCCTCAACTAGTATTCTGTTTAAATACACAGAAAAATACAGTAGACCTTTGACCAACACATGGGTTTGAACTGCGCAGGTCTACTAATACAGTGATTTTCTCCCATCTTTGCCACCCCTGAGACAGAAGGCGAACCCCTCCTCTTCTTCCTCAGCATACTCAATGTAAAGACAATAAGGATGAAGACTTTCATGATGGTTCACTTCTACTTAACAAATAGTAAATATATTTTCTCTTCATTATGATTTTCTTAATAACATCTTTTCTCTATCTTACTTTAAGAATACAGTATATAATACACGTAACATACAAAAATATGTGTGTTAATTGATTGTTTCTGTTATTGGTAAGGCTGCCTGTCAACAGTAGGCTATTAATAGTTAAGTTTTGGGGGAGTCAAAAGTTATGCATGGATTTCTTATTGCACAGGGCAACCGCACCCCAACCTTCATGCTGTTCAAAGGTCAACTACAATTCATCCCAATCCCATAGTGATTTAAGATTTTAACAGCCTTGGGGAAGACCTCCTGTTGACAAAGAATTTTGCACCCTTTAGACAAATGAGGTTTCATTCTTGATCACATGCTTTTCAAAGGTTGAGTTTTGAAAAATAAGATCAGACAGTAAAGGCTGAGACTGGACCAAGGGAATTGTTGACAAAGCCACAGCTAGCCCTATGGAGTCTTCAGGCAAAGCACAAAATAATCATTATCATCATCATAGTAACAATGGCACCCCCCTCTTTGCAGATAAAGCCCCGTGGTAGGACTTAGTCTAGCCATTAAATGCACCAAAATTTTAGCCTCTTCCTATCCCCTTGGCTTGGAGTCATGTGTAAGGTATAACATCAAACTTACATGGTAGCCCTGATTGTGGGCACCTTGCCCTGGAGTACATAGTATATAGTGAACATAGAAACTAGATTCTGGAGAGTGACATGGAAATATAGGCTGTGGGTGTAGTACACACCATTTTTAGGAATTTAACCATGCATGAGACACAAGAGACGGAGCAGCAGCCAGATAGGTCAGCAGAGTCAAGTGTTGACTTTTTCTCCCCCTAAATAATTAGAGAGATCTGGGAAAGCTTAGAAACAGAGGAAGAGGGTGTGGAGGTGAGGAAGTAGGCTTAACACACACAGTAGTCAACTTTAAATTCAAAAGCATCAGCTCCTAATTCTAATCTTCTCTTCAAGGAAAACAAAATCATCTAGGATGAAAAGTTTCTTTTTATCTAAGAAGATATAAACCCAATTCCTCTCTCAATAAGTACCAAGTCTCAAATTTGAATAAAATAACTTATTATTTGTGTATGATTATAAAACTGATTCCTCCATTTGTCATTATCAGCCACTGATTTCAGAAGCCCAAGAGTAACAATGGGAAAATGGATTTTTAACCTATAGAGTACATAGATTATTGCATTTTATTAAAGTGTAGCTTGTAGACAAGCTTCTTAAAGTTTCAACAAACTGTTCAAAACCAAAAACTGTATATTTTTTGTCAACTCCTGTTTTAACTGTCTCCTAGGTAAAAGCACAAAAGTGCATCTGCTGGTAACTCTTCCCTTCCTCTGGTACCTAAAAAATCCAGGAGATGAACAAGTTATATTTGATGTATCCAAACATTAGCAATTTCATTATAAATAAATGCTCATAATTTTTAAGTATAGATTAACATAGTAAATTCTTTAAAAGATTAACCTTAGTAATAACCAACAGGAATAAAGAGAGTTAGGGTTTTAGTTAACCGCATATTTCATGTTTTATCATGGTTACCATTTCAGAAGACTCATTGAATTTTTAGGAACCCGCCAGTCTAGTCAAAAGAAATCACAAATCCTTAACTAACATATGCTAACTTTTCTTTGAGGAACAAAAGAAGCATCTTTGTTTGTTCCTCACCAGCAAACACTGAGCCATCTAAAAGGAGTCCTTTCAGTGGTAATGTTAGCAGGGAAATTCAATTGTATTTAATTAAGTTCTTCCCCAAAAAACTGCACACAGAAGCATCAAAGAGGTTATCAGAGGTCAGAGGCCTGTCATGACTTTCTGACCCTCCCAAAATGCAAAATAAAAGATAGTGGTATCCCTGCTGGTAAGATGGGCTTCCACATTTGTGTCTCTCCCTTTCTGCTTTAATTTAATAGCAATCAGCACAATATGGCTGCTTTTTTCTGAACAATAGGACGGGCAGAAGTTAGATTTACAATGCTGCAAGGGGGAGGACAGGAGACAAGGAAGGCTCACTATGGCTTTTAAGGTTCAATAAGAACATCACTTTGATACCCATAAAAAAAACTTGAAAATCTATTTAACATTCATTGTGGTCAAAAATGGATAGATGTGCACTTCTCAAATCTCGTATTCTGGAATTATCTTAAATTATCAACTTTTTAATAGATCTTTTTTAAGATGAGTATGCAGATAAATAAGATTTTTTCCCTACCAAAAAATAATTATGATATCATGTCATGCACCTAGCAGTTCCTTGACTTTAAAATAATGTATTCAGTATTTTCATCATGATTCTTATTTTCTAAATTTTGTAATTTTCACAAGTCTACTAACAATCTTATATTGAGCACAATACACTAAGATGGTCAGAAGTACTAAATGTGTTTTATGAAACCAGGCAAAAGTTAATTAACCCAAATGTTATTTAGAGTCTTGAATGTCTAATTGCAAATGAGTCCCAGACATGGAACTTACTTCCTGAGACATTTCATGTTTAGGAAATTACATTCCTAAGTGACACCGTAAGGAGAATCTCAGAATCTGGGGCCCAGAATACATCTTAAAGATCATTTAATCCAACATGCCAGCTGATGTTTGAATTCTCCCGTAACTCTCCTACCCCACTGTCATCCAGTCAGTAGTTGCATAATTCTGCAAAGACTTCAAACTCAACTGTTTCTTGCAGCCACCCACTTCCAGGGAGACAATATTTTCAGAAGGAAAAATTGAAGAGCCTAAACTAAAAGGAGGCTTAATTTTGAGGTCAAGAACCCCAAATGTTAATCCTGCTTCTCCAATCAATTTAGGATCTTCAGTAATCCATTTAATCTCTATGCTTGTCTGAAAAAGAAGCAAAAATATTTGTGTGATCATCTGTGAGTCAAGACCCTTGTGTTCCAATTTGTATGCTTTCTCCTATAGAATTTTTAAGTCAGGATAGCTTAAATGCCAACTTAGGCCAAGTGGGGAGTGGCTCCCTGGAGATGCTTCCAGGTTTCATAAGAAAGAGGCCTTGACTGACTGGCATGATTGTCATGGCCACAAGCAAGCCCCAGGATGGATGGGGAATATCTACCCATACTTCAACCATCTTTGCTCTAGGTAATGCCTTGGAAAGAGCTGCCAGAAGAACATTTGGAACTGCAACTTTATTCCAGCAAGAATAGCATGGAAAGCAGGGCAGGTGAAAACAGAGGAGTTATTCCCAGGGTGGTTCTATTCTTAGGGATCAGAGCAGTCTCACCTTTGTCCTTTCAGATTAACAAATCAGATTAAAAGTAGAAGACTCTGTATGTTCATGTCTATTCACACTCTTGAAAGCCAGCCATAAGGAAAGCGGGAAGAGAAATCAACGGTTACTGAGCACATCTCAGCAACTGTATAGAGTAGCTACTGTCATCTCTATTTAGATAAAAAAGCTGACTGAAAGATTAGATGATAGGTCCAAGGATACTCAGTTACCAAGCAAGGAGGATTTGAACCAAGATGTGTGCCCAAAGTGCCTCCAAATATACCCCAATAACTTTTACTATTATTCTTAATTTCCTTCAAGGCATGTGTACAGAAAAATACTAGAGAGCAGTTGTTTCCATCCTCCCTTGTCCATGCTGTAGTGCATTGCACACCTGCAGATTCATTTGCCAGCCTTATCATCATATCAAGCTAATATGCAGCTAATTTGCTCTATATATAAAAAACTATCTCTTTTAGTAATGACATTATTCTAATAGAACTATATAGCTAATTCTATTAATATTAATATGCAAAAGTTTTAAAAAATCATAATCAAAAGGGAACTTACTGTCAATTTTATTATGCAAAACTGTAGCAGTGTATTCTTACCATGACACTCTACTTTTTTTCATTTGATATAATGTTGTCAGATACAATATAGTTACTATGCAGAAGTAAAAGCACAGAAAGTAAAATTGTGATACAAACAATTATTGCTATAATCTGAATGTTTGTATCTCTCCAAAACTCATGTGTTGAAATCTAATTCCCAACCCCTTAATACCATTAAGAAGTGGGGTCTTTGGGAAGTGACTAGGTCATCAGGGTGGAGCCCTCATGAATAGGATTAGTTCCCTTATGAAAAAGAAGCCAGGGGAGCTTGTTATCTTCTTCTGCCATGGGAGGAACACAGAAAGAAGGCATCTCTGAGGCAGAAAGCAAGCCCTCACCACTGAATCTATTTGTGCGTTGATCTTGGACTTCCCATCCTCCAGGACTACGAGCAATAAATGTCTGTTGTTTATAAATTACCCTATCTAAAGTATTTTGTTACAGCATCCTGAACAGACTAAAACAATTATGTATACATGTGTGCACATGCATGCACACAAACACACACACACATACACAGAGGGAGACAGGCAGAGAGAAAGAAATTGACTTAAAAAGTTTATTTGAAGGCTATAACATACTTCTACTCTAAATATGTTATAGAGGAGCCCAAGATGGTTACCAATGCAATGATCACTGGCAACTAATTACAATGATCTGAGTTAGTAGAGCATAAAGTATACTACACTCAACAAAGGTGCCACATCAGGACTTGCAACCAAGGCGGCAAAACACCATCTGATAACCCAGGATAAAGCACATTTTCTGAAACTCTTTCTGAAGACTCACATTTTAACTGAGTTTAAATTTTTAACCTTGGAATCAGCACAAGTAAAATGTCATAGTTCAGAACTGAAATGAGAAATATATTGAACACCAAGCCCATTTTTATTAAACTGCATTTCAACTAAACACTAAGATTGTTTTACCTCCGCTAAACAGTAATAACCAAATAAATAATATTGTGATATACACACATGTGACGGTGTTCATCAGGTAAACTGGAATAAAATTTGAAAGAGACAGCTGGGCGCAGTAGCTCACGCCTGTAATCCCAGCACTTTGGGAGGCTGAGGCAGGCAGATCACCTGGGGTCAGGAGTTCGAGACTGGCCTGGCCAACATGGCAAAACCCTGTCCCTACTAAAAATACAAAAATCAGCTGGGCATGGTGGTGGGCACCTCTAATCCCAGCTACTCAAGAAGCTGAGGCAGGAGAATCACTTGAACCTGGGAGGCAGAGGTTGGCTTACTACAACTTACTGCAAACCTAAATTGCAGTAATCTCCAGACTGCTTTCTACAGTCTGAGATGGCATCTCACCATGGTTTTGATTTGCATTTCTCTGATGATTAGTGATGCTGGGCATTTTTCATATATTTATTGGCTCCTTATATGTCTTCTTTTAAGAAGTATTTGTTCATATACTTTGCCCATTTTTAATGATGTTATTTGTTTTTTCTTGTTAATTTAAGTTCCATATAGATTCTGGATATTTAGCCTTTGTGGGATGCATAGTTTGCAAATATCTTCTCCCATTTTGTAGGTTCTGTTTACTCTGTGGATAGTTTCTTTTGCTGTGCATAAGCTCTTTAGTTTAATTAGGTCCCACTTGTCTATGTTTTGTTTTGTTGCAATTGCTTTTGGAAACTTAGCCAAAACTTATTTGCCAAGGCCAATGTCAAGAAGAGTATTTCCTAAGTTGTCTTCTGGATTTTTATGGTTTGAGCTGTTACATTTAAATCTTTGATCCATTTTGAGTTAATTTTTGTACATGGGTGAAAGCTGGTGAAAGTATCTTCAGCATATAGCTAGCCAGTTATCCAAGCACCATTTATTGAATAAGGAGTCCTTTCCCCATTGCTTCTTTGTCAGCCTTGTTAAAGATCAGATGGCTGTAGGTGTGTGGCTTCATTTTTGAGTTTTCTATTCTGTTCCATTGGTCTGTGTGTCCATTTTTGAACCAGCACTATGCTGTTTTGCCTACTGCAGTTTTACAGTATAGTTTGAAGTCAGATAGTGTGATGCCTCCAGCTTTGTTCTTTTTGCTTAGGATTACTGTGACTATACAAGCTCTTTTTTCATTCCATATGAATTTTATTTTGGTATTTACTCTATTATTATTATTATTATTTCAATAGTTTTGGGGGAACAGGTGGTGTTTGGTTTTATGGTTAAGTCCTTTAGTGGTGATTTCTGAGATTTTGGTGCATCCATTACCTGAGCAGTGTGCACCGTACTCAGTGTGTAGTCTTTTATCCCTCACCCATCTCCCACCCTTCACTTCAAGTCCCCAAAGTCCACTGTATCATTCTTATGCCTTTGTGTCCTAATAGCTAGGCTCCCACTTATAAATGAGAACATGGGATGTTTGGTTTTCCATTTCTAAGCTACTTCACTTAGAATAATGGTCTCCAACTCCATTCAGGTTGCTGCAAATGCCATTATTTTGTTTCTTTTTTATGGCTGAGTAGTATTCCATGGTGTGTGTGTGTATGTGTATATTATATATACATCATTATAATTTTCTTTATCCACTCATTGGTTGATGTACATTTAGGCTGGTTTCATATTTTTGCAATTGTGAATTGTGCTGCTATAAACATGCATGTGAAAATGTGATTTTCTTTTCTTCTGGGTAGATACTCAGTAGTGGGATTGCTGGATCAAATGGTAGTTCTACTTTTAGTTCTTTAAGGAATCTCCATATAGTTTTCCACAGTGGCTGTACATTCCCACCAGCAGTGTAAAAGTGTTCCCTTTCACCACATCCATACCAATATCTATTTTTTTTTATTTTTTCATTATGGCCATTCTTGCAGGAGTAAGGTGGCATCACATTGTGGTTTTGATTTGCATTTCCCTGTTAATTAGTGATGTTGAGCATCTTTTCATATGTTTGTTGGCCATTTGCATATCTTCTTCTGAGAACTGTCTATTTATGTCCTTAGCCCACTTTTTTATGGGATTGTTTGTTTTTTTCTTGGTGATTTGTTTGCGTTCCTTGCAGATTCTGGATACCAGTCCTTTCCCAGATGCATAGAATCATTTTTCCAATTCTGCAAAGAATAACATTGGTAGTTTGATAGGAATAGCATTGAATCCGTACATTTCTTTGGGTAGTATGGCCATGTTTATTATATTGATTCTTTCAATCTATGAGCATGGAATATTTCCTCATTTATTTGTGTTGCATCCGATGTTTTTAAGCAGTGTCTTACAGTTCTTCTTATAAAGATCTTTCACTACCTTAGTTAGCTGTATTCCTAGGTATATTTCATTTTCTTTGTGGCTATTGTAAGTAGGATTGTGTTCTTGATTTCACACTCATCCTAGAAGTTGCTGCTGTATAGAAATACTACTGATTTTTATACATTAACTTTGCATCCTGAAACTTTACTAAAGTTGTTTATCCAATCCAGGGGCCTTTTGGCAGAGTCGTTCTAGACTCAGAATCATATTGTAAGTGAAGAGAGATAGTTTAACTTCTTTTCCTATTTGGATGCCTTTTATTTCTTTCTCTTGCTTGATTGCTCTGGCTAGGACTTCTAGTATTATGTTGAATAAGAGTGGTGAGAGGGGCATCCTTGTCTTCAAAGATACAGAATAGCAGTCTGGATAAAAAGATAAGGCTCAACCATCTGTTGTCTTCAAGAGACCTGTCTTACATGTAACAACACCCGTGGGCTCAAAGTAGAAGGATAGAGAAAGATCTACCATGAAAACAGAAAACAACAACAAAAAAAGAGTAGAGACAGCTATTCTTATATTAGGAAAAAAAAAATACTTTAAACCATAAGAATTAAGAAGGATAATGAAAGACATTACATAATGATAAAAGGTACAATCTAATAAGAAGCCTTGAATATCCTAAATATATACACACCCAACAGTGGTGCACCCAGATTCATTAAACAAGTTCTTCTTGGCCTAAGAAATGACTTAGAAAACCACACAATACTACTGGGAGACTTCAACACCCCACTGACAGCATTAGACAAATCATCAAGGCAGAAAACTAACAAAGAAACTCTGGACTTAAACTCAACAATTGACTAACGATTGGACTTAATAGACATTTAGAGAACACTCCACTCAACCACCACAGAATATATATTCTTCTCATCTGCACACAGAACATATTCTAAGATCAGCCACATGCTCAGTCATAAAGCAAGTCTCGATTAATTTTTAAAAACTGAAATCATACCAAGAACACTCTCAGATCACAGTGCAATGAAAATAGAAATCAATATCAAGTGCTTTTGATTTTTAAGATAGCTGCGGAATAATGTTCTGCAAAATGCCATGACCGCCTGAGACTCATGCTTTACAGTAACATATGCTTTCAGAGTTTAATTTGGTTTTAAACAGGAGTAAATGTGCCAAAAATCAGACTGTAAGATATTCATAATTAGGGACAGAACACAATAGTCACCTTACGTGAAGAGCAATTATTTAACATGAATTCATGAATTGCTTGATGGTGTTTTCTTGTGGAGACAGGCACAGCTGCCATGCTGATAAAGTGCCAAATTTTATTCTGTTTTTCCCTCCTGTTTCCAAGAAGAAAAAACTCTCTGCCTTTTTCTGTAGGTTTCCTCATTCTTTTCAGATGGGTCTACATGATTTAGCAGGTGATTACTGAGGCACCATTGTCTTTGTTTAGTGGGTTTTTTTTTTTATTGGCCTTTCTGCAACTGAGTGTGTATACGTGTATACATGTGCAACTTGTGCAACACATGGGTCTGTGTGCTAGGTGTCATTTTGGTTGCTTGTTTTCATTTTAATCAAACTTTATGTCATTCTGTAGGGGTATGCACATTTTCATAAAATAATGCAAAAATTCATATAAAAAGTAATGTAGGTTAAAAAAAAAGGGTTGTGACTCCCAGTTTTTCAGTTGATTTGGAGAGCTGGTGAAGCTCGCAAAATCTGAGAGAACATTCTGTGAACCAAAAGGTTTAGTGCATTATAGGGAATGGGAGAAGTGAGTGGCCCACTGCACTGGGCAGAGCTCAACATATTGGAAAAATATACACATTTTCTTGAGAGCCTGGAAATCCAGTGATGGCCAGAGAGCAACTCCACAGAGAGATTTAGATTGGTTATTTTCAACAAGGCAATACAGGAATGATAAATTCATGGGAATAAAACATCCTCTTGAGACTGAAGAAAGCATTAAAGCATCCCACCCGAGACCACCACCAAAAAGGATTGTGTTTATTCACATACATGCTACATTTATTACTATATGCAAGACAGTTAAAAAAAAAGAGTTTGCTTCCAGGAATACAAAGATAGATATTTTTGCCCTGACGTAACTATTTTACAAACACTCTATTTTCTCTATTAAAAGGATCTCCTGTTCCATACTTTACATAATTCTGATTTTATCTTCTTTCAACTCAATGACCTTGAGAACTGACACAGAGTTCTTCACCTCTGTTTTAGTCTTCTAAACCTTGAATAGTATGCTTCAAAGCAAGCTTTGCAACTGAGTTAAATGTTTGTTTTTACACTAGTTGCACAAAAGATATTATAACTAGTATGTGCAAGGAGAATGGATTGATGTAATTTTATTAAGAGAAAGGGCCTATCCTTCCCTTATTTTCAAACATGGACTTTGATAATTGTGTCTTCTCTCCATACCTTCCCTATCTCACTGTAATAAAAGCTATCTGAATGTACCAGTCCAGGAAGAGTTTGTTTGAATACATAAATTATTCTCTTCAATATTTAGGAGACAGTCAACATTGAACATAAACTAAAAAGAGTAACATAGGCATAACTTCCCTCTTCTGTCTCTGAAATACAAACAATACTTGAGTAATTTTAATGGGAAAATCCCCCCCACTTAACTGTGGCAAAGTTTGTATGCTGTAAGTGATTTAAAGGGTAAACCTAATTATCTTGTAGCACTAACCAGTCTCCCTCTTCTCTCATATTGCTCTCATCCAATCCATCCCCTAAAATGACCTGGATTGATCTTCCTAAAGAATAGTTAAACTTCATGTTATTTTCCCTGCTCGTAAATCACCAGAGGTTCTTCATACTCCTCCATTTGGCATTTAAGAGCTTCAGCTCCTTTATCCAAACCATCTTTCAGCCTTAGCCTCCATATTCCCCTGCACACACCTTTTCACACACCTCATTGTTCCCTTTGCACTTTACACTTTCCCATGTGTATGGCAGCATCCATACTTTGTCTCTTGCCTTCCACTCTCTTCTCTCCTATCCGCATCCAGGTCCCAATCTTAATTACCTAAGAGACTGCTATTAACCTTTAAGCACTTTGAGAAGATAAACTATCTTAATTATTTTTGAATCCTCTCAGTACCTGGAAAGTTATACTGGGTAGACGTTTGCACAAGATTTGCCAGATAGATAAATGGATGGATGCAGAAATGGATAGGATAAGAAGTGGTTGGACTGATGAGTGAGTGGATAGAAAGATAATGAATCATTGGATAAATGGGTGAATGTATGCAGGAGTCAATGGTTAGATTAATTAATGAATGGCATTATTAACATGAGATTTAAGTAACAGAAACCAGATTTTACAAAGTTAGTTGACACTGAAGAATTCTGGCAAAGAATATCCATTAACTCTTTAATTCTGTCTAATTCAACTTTGTTCATAGAGACATTTTTAAAAGATAACTTTGCTATTCTACCCTACGGCCAAGAGCTATTTAGAATAACTTCTTATTTCTACCACTAACATAGAAATGGTATTTAAATTATTTCTAAAGTACTACCAGATCTATTTCTAAAGTACTACCTAACCAAATCCTCCTTTCACTGACTGGAGAAATATTTGTTCTTTTAATGGAGTAATCCTCACATTGGAAAAATTCAGGGTTTTGGAATTATCAATTCGTGAACACAGGTGTCCTAGAATCCAAATCAAAGGACATGAAAGCCAGATACCAGCAGGCATGCCGTCTTCTAGATAGGATCATACGGCCTACTCTTATCTAACATATAATGCTAAGAAGATAATCTGATCTTCTTACGGAAGATCAGAAGTATGGAAGCATGGAGCAGGAGATCCTTTTAATAGAGAAAATAGAGTGTTTGTAAAATAGTTATGTCAGGGCAAAAATATCTATCTTTGTATTCCTGGAAGCAAACTTTTTTTTAACTGTCTGCATATAGTAATAAATGTAGCATGTATGTGAATAAACACAATACTTTTTGGTGGTGGTCTCGGGTGGGATGCTTTAATGCTTTCTTCAGTCTCAAGAGGATGTTTTATTCCCATTAATTTATCATTCCTGTATCGCCTTGTTGAAAATAACAAGCCCCAGATCATGAGCAGCTACTGTGATACAGGAAGAGGGGCCAGTTCAAACCAGTGTCATCACTGCAATAAACACTAACAGTTTACAATCAACAGATAGGCAGAAAAAAATGCTTTTAAAACTATTTTAGGAAGCTCATTTTCTGTATGTAACATTCCGTTAAATTTTTTTTTTTTTTTGGTAGCCATATTACACAGTTCGCTTATCTTATATCTACTATTGACAAAGGTCTGCACTTCTTTCCACATGTGCTTCTGGTAGTCTCAGCCCATCAGGGAAAAAGAATTAAACAGATGAGTCCTGAACAGCTGTACTAGAGGGGAAAAATCTAAGTCAGTCTTGGGATATCATGGGAAGCTCCCCAAAGAAAGAGCCATCCAAACTTAGATCTGGATGAAAGTTAAATGAGAATATGAGGTAAGGCAGGAAGAGCTGCACGTACAAATGCTATCATCTTTCAATGATGGCACATTCAGAGAACCACAGGGAGTTCAGTGAGATGGCAGGCTAAAGAGGAAACAGAGTTTAAGGCAGATAAAAGGAGAGGCACCAGGGTTGAGATGGCAAAGAACCTTAAAAAAATTGTAAAGGAGTTTGGAATTTATTCTGAAGGCAATAAGGAGTCATCATGTTTTAAGCAAAGGTGTAAATTTTTAAGCCAAGATACGTTTTATACTTGATCTTAGCCAAAAGTGGTCCAAGATAGGTTTTAGAAAGGTCACCTTGGGCCCCAGGTGGAAGTTGTTATGGGATAAAACAGACTAGAGGAGAATCAGGACATAGAGGAGATGGGTGACGAGACAGGAAGCAGAGAGGAAGACAAGTCCTTCACCTCCCCAGGGCTCCTCCTGTAATCCAGTCTAACCCACCATGGATCACGGTGGTGATGGCTATAAAGACCAGTGACTCCAACTGTCTGAATATCCCTAAACAGAGTCCCCCATGCTGGACTCTCAAATTCTCCAACTCTGCTCAGCACACTTGCCAGTCCTTCAGATCTATTTGTGTCCACTCCTTCAACTAAACCTGATTTCCCCAGCTTGACCTTGGCCTTTCTGAGAATATTAGCTCAGAATCACCCTCTAGTCATTTCCATTCCTGGCCACCTTGTGTGGATACCTCGTCATAGCTCTGCTTCCTGGGGCCCGAACCCTGATATTATTTGCCTCCAGTTTCAGTCAAGCAGGGGCTTTATACAGAAGGTTTTCTGCCACAAAACTAAATGTGTGCAAAGGGTTTTCTATAACAAAAAAATTCCACAACTGTGATTAATTGTATAAAATTATGTAACAGTACTATATATAGTTGTTTTGCATAAACAATTATTGGCTGTTATATTAACATGTGGCCAAGTAAATGACACAGATATCATATAAAATTGCATTTTTAAAAACATTTCTTTAGAAAGGAAATGTTACAGAGGGGAAAAGTTGTATTGTCCTTCATAGGCATACTTTTACATAGTTGTTTTCATTGTAAACATATGTTTTTTCAATGTAACATTATATTATAGATATTTTCTAATTGCTACAGCTTGATAATTAACATTTCAAACAACTTGGTTTTGTCTGCTTAGGTGGGTTTGCAGTACCCCTCTAACTGAACCCTTTGTGCTTACAAAAACAACAATAGAAAAAGTACACATTGGGGACTTCTTTCCTTTGAAGATTCTTTGGAAGACTTGGAAATCTTGCAAACTGCCACATGAGGACGTGGATACCGAGATCTTTGCTAAGTGGTACACTCACGATGAGCTTCCAGTTTTCTCCCTCTCCTTTTGTCTTCTGTATCCCTTTACTGCTCATCAATTGTCTCCTTGTGTCAGCACTTCCCCTTCTAATGCAAACTCTCTAAGGCAGTGGTTCTCAAACTTTGCATGTTTCATGTTTCTTTTTTTTTTACCCAGGCTGGAGTGCAATGTCACGATCTCTGCTCACTGCAACCTCCGCCTCCCTGGTTCATGTGATTCTCCTCCCTAAGCCTCCCAAGTAGCTTGAATTACAGGCGCACACCACCACACCCGGTTGATTTTAGTAGAAACAGGGTTTCACTATGTTGGCCAGACTGGTCTCGACTTCCTGACCTCGTGATCTGCCCGCCTCGGCCTCCCAAAGTGCTGGGATTGTAAGCATGAGTCACCGCGCCCAGCCTGCATGTTTCTTTTGCACTATACACATTGTAGATTGACACGACCATTGGATTATTTGTGGTTATGAATAATTCCCAGCAAAATAGCGTTAATTCCACTATTTCTTCCCACTCAAGAAAGCATAGTATAAAGTGAGAAGACAGTGAACCTATTCTTACACATTTTTCAAATATTTTCAAAATCTTTTATTTTATTGTACAACTTACTCACAAAAATACCTTTAAGTAATCACAGTGCACCAATATGAGAAGATTGTGTGGTTGGGAATGTTGTCCTAGGGACCAAGAAGCCTGTCTTACTCATCTTTGCAACTTCTGTCTCACAGTGCCTAGCCTGCTACAAAGACACGAGAGGCCCAGGGGCTAATGACAAGGGAGAAAAAATAGAGAAGGGAAGAAGATAATGTAGAAGAGAGGAAAGGAGGCAAAGAGAAAAGTAAAACCAAATAAATATAAATGTAAGAATATTTTAGGGCTGGGTGCAGTGGCTCACACTTGTAATCACAACTTTAGGAGACCAAGGCGGGAGAATCCCTTGAGCCCAGGAGTCTGAGACCAGCATGGGCAACATCAGGAGACCCTGTCTCTACAAAATAAAATAAAAAATATTACCTGAGTGTGGTGGTGTGTGCCTGTGGTCCCAGATACTTAGGAGGCTGAGGTGAGAGCATCATTTGAATCTGGGAGGTTAAGGCTACAGAGAGCCATAATCTCACCACTGCACTCCAGTCTGGGCAACAGAGCAAGACCTTGTCAATAAATATAAATAAATAAATAAATAAATAAATAAATAAATAAATAAATATCAGCATGATCAACTAGTAGCAAATGAACTAAATAAAACTCAAAAAAAGAACTAATATTCCAGTATAGTAGTAGTGTTTCAATACTGTTCTAAAACAACTGTTATGAAACATACCGTTGGGCTATAATTCCCTCTAGGAACTGAGGAATAAAGATCTGATGTCTGCACAAGTGTGTGTGCAAAAGATACAAATTAACTGCTAAATTGTCAAGATAACAACTTTCCAGAAGGAATGACTAATTACAAAATATTTCAATCCTATTCGCCTGTCTTATATTCCTGGTTACATTCATGCTCCAAATAATAATAATAAGAATAAGATGGTCAGAAATTATATTATTTGTTTCTAAAATGTATTCATTGGAGCCAGAGGGATAGCTTTATGTATAATGAAGTATTGAACTTGATTAGAGTCAGTATTGAATTATTAAATCGCTCCTTAAATAAAGAAAAAAGAGATGTTGCTCAGAAAAGCAACAATGGATAAATCTGATTGAAAGCCCTATTTTTGAACAATCCCTTGTTCTATTCAAATCTCTTTAAATTCACTGAAATGAATTTGAGTCCTGTAAAGGTCATGACTCAAAAAAGAAAAACCCAAAATTGATTTAAAGGGGCTAATCAAGGAGGAGATTTGCAGTACTTTCAAGAAACAACCCTCTGAAATGGAAGAGAATTGGCCAACAATTCCATTTTACTGGGCCACACTTTAATATAACAGCCAATTATTGTTCAACAAAAGCAATATCCCAATTCATTCTTTTTCACAAGGTAACGACTCTGGCCTGTGAGTTGAGAAAATAAAATGATGGACTAGACACACGCCACAGAGGAAAAGTGTGGAGTAGGATTTGGGGCTTTTTACTGGATGCGGTACATTTCATTAGTGGTTCTGAGTCCCCTGCTGGGCTCTTATTTCTAAGCCTTTTGTGTGGGATTTTCCTTTTAAAATGATACCTCAATGCAAATGTCCCAGTGTAAGAAAACACTTAGCACATGTCTAAGAAACCTGTAGAATGGCCATGGAAAGCATAGAAATTTTTTAAAGCAAAAATAAAGGAAATAAAACGGAATATTTTAGACTGCACTAGCAGGTGGGTATCTGGTGGTAGAAAACCAGCTCCAAAACAAGCAAGACTGTAACTGTAACAAGAAAAAAGACACTTGTGTTCCAATAATCCCAACAAAACTAAATTGCAACCTGGGAACATTAAAAAAAAAAAAAAGACACAACACCCTTCAAAAGAAAAATAAAACAATGCTCTCAAAATAGGCCCGATTATGTGGGTCACTGCATACTGTGTATTTTCCCTGTAGCATTTTATCATGGTTACTGTTGCCAGGGGACACTTGATGCTCTCATTATATATGTTTGTCTTTCACATCCACATTGGAGCCAGTATTTTTCCTTCGATGCCCCCAGAACTGTAACAGAAATAAAAATAAGGAATGGACCCCATTATTACACAAATACCTACAAAGCAGAAGGAGTGACCCCCATGGGTCACTGTGTTGTCCCTGGAAGCATTGATGCCCTTGCCCTGGGGCCCCCAGCCCTTTGTCACGGGGTCAAAGCCAGGACCTCAGCTGAGTATCCTCTGTGAAGAATTAACAAGTGTGACAATTTGTGGGCCCTCCCCCCCTTGGCCCCTGGTCTGGCCTGCCTGAATGCTGTAAATAGAGACATCTGGATAGAGCCCTTTCACTGCAGTAATTGAAAATGAACACGGATCAAGTTCTGGCCTGTTGTATTCATAAATCTTGAGGCTTAATTACATTAAAGGGAAATCTAGGGCCCAGCACTATGGAAACTGCAGATTCTATCAGGGGCTTGAATCATGAATCTTTAAGATAAGTGGGTTTTCTCTCCCCACCCCATCCCCTACTCTTTAGTAGAGTTGAATGGGAAATTTTCAAATCAAGTCTCCCAGTATTAATACACCAGGAAACTTCTGAGATTTTGTGCTCTACTGTTTGTACATGTGCTTCCATTGCATGTTCACTGGGTAACATTTGCAGCATTCCTTGGAGCAGATCAACATTTTCAGGCCTAAAATTAGTCACATTTCTATGAGGAATGACGACAGACTTGACAGATATTTAAAATACTTTTTTCCCCCAAGTTGAGCAGAAAGTGCATGCCTCTAGTTAAAATTTAATGAGTTTCAAAAAAAGAATTATGGCAATTTAACATTCCAAATGAAGCCAAAGCTCTCGGCATCCCCTGTAAAGATAACAAGTTGAGAATTAGACTCCAGAGTAGTTCTACTGAAATTTATAAATAAGCCATAAGTTTTTTATTGTTTAATATAAAAATTTATTCAACTCTATTACCTGAAGATGGATTTCAAAGTAAATGCATGATGCTATTTATTCTGTTTATATTTTTGTTATAATTTTGTGTATTGGATGACATTTGGGCCATTTTGGCAAATGAATGAATGGAGGACATTGCAACTTAACTTACTAGAAATGCATCTACACCAATCATCATGCAGAAGTGAAGCCTTTGAGCGCAAGCTCCAAAGTGATTAAGATCCCCCTGCACATGGTGCCTCTTCCCATTTGTCACATGCCATGGGCACAAAAAATAAATGCTGTGGAAATGAGCTAATGAATCTACGAACTGAATCTGTATCTCTGGGGTCAACTATAATAAGGAAAATATGTTGCTACTTCCTTTTGTCTTCATTCATTTGTGATGATCTCCTATCAGCTAATAAGAAAATTACTGGGTATAAAAACATACCGAGTGGCTGGCAAGATGGCTGAATAGGAACAGCTCCGGTCTGCAACTCCCAGCAAGATCAACACAGAAGGCGGGTGATTTCTGCATTTCCAACTGAGGTACTTGGCTCATCTCACTGGGACTGGTTAGACAGTGGGTGCAGCCCACAGAGGGCGAGTGGAAGCAGGGCAGGGCAACACCTCACCCGGGAAGTGCAAGGGGTCAGGGAACTCCCTCCCCTAGCCAAAGGAAGTTGTGAGGGACTGTGCCATGAGGAACAGTGCATTCCGGATACTATGCTTTTCCCATGGTCTTTGCAACCTGCAGACCAGGAGATTCCCTCGGGTACCTACACTACCAGGGCCCTGGGTTTCAAGCACAAACTGGGCAGCCGTTTGGGCAAACACCGAGCTGGCTGCAGGAGTTTTTGTTTTGTTTTGTTTTGTTTTTCATTCCCCAGTGGTGCCTGGAACACCAGCGAGACAGAACCATTCATTGCCCTGGAAAGGGGGCTAAAGCCAGGGAGCCAAGTGGTCTAGCTCAGCAGATCCCACCCCCATGGAAAGCAGCAAGCTAAGATCCACTGGTTTGAAATTCTCACTGCCAGCACAGCAGTCTGAAGTTGACCTGGGAAACTCGAGCTTAGTGGGAGAGGGGTGTCCGTCATTACTGAGGCTTGAGTAGGTGGATTTCCCCTCACAGTGTAAACAAAGCCACTGGGAAGTAGGAACTGGACGGAGTCCACCACAGCTCGGCAAAGCCACTGTAGCCAGACTGCCTCTCTAGATTCCTCACCTCTGGGTAGGGAATCTCTGAAAGAAAGGCAGAAGCTCCAGTCAGGGGCTTATAGATAAAAATCCCATCTCCCTGGGACAGAGCACCTAGGGGAAGGGGTGGCTGTGGGCGTAGCTCCAGCTGACTTAAACATTCCTGCCTGCCAGCTCTAAAGAGAGCAGCGGATCTCCCAGCACAGTGCTTGAGCTCTGCTAAGGGACAGACTGCCTCCTCAAGTGGGTGCCTGCCCCCCGTGCCTCCTGACTGTGAGATACCTCCCAGCAGAGGTCGACAGACACCTCATACAGGAGAGCTCCAGCTGGCATCTGGCGGGTGCCCCTCTGAGACAAGCTTCCAGAGGAAGGAACAGGCAGCAATCTTTGCTGTTCTGCAGCCTCTGCTGGTGATACTCAGGCAAACAGGGTCTGGAGTGGACCTCCAGCAAACTCCAGCAGACCTGCAGCAGAGGGGCCTGACTGTTAGAAGGAAAAATAACAAACAGAAAGGAATAGCATCAACATCAACAAAAAAGGATGTCCACACCAAAACCCCATCCAAAGGCTGTGAGCTACGCCCACAGCCGCCCCTTCCCCTAGGTGCTCTGTCCCAGGGAGATGGGATTTTTATCTATAAGCCCCTGACTGGAGCTTCTGCCTTTCTTTCAGAGATTCCCTACCCTGAGGTGAGGAATCTAGAGAGGCAGTCTGGCTACAGTGGCTTTGCCGAGCTGTGGTGGACTCCGTCCAGTTCCTACTTCCCAGTGGCTTTGTTTACACTGTGAGGGGAAATCCACCAACTCAAAAAAGGACGTCCACACAAAAACCCCATCCAAAGGTCACCAGCATCAAAGACCAAAGCTAGATAAATCCACAAAGATGAGGAAAAACCAGCCCCAAAAGGCTGAAAATTCCAAAAACCAGAACGCCTCTTCTCCAAAGGATCACAACTCCTTGTCAGCAAGGGAACAAAACTGGACGGAGAATGAGCTTGATGAATTGACAGAAGTAGGCTTCAGAAGGTGGGTAATAACAAACTCCTCCGAGCTAAAGGAGCATGTTCTAACCCAATGAAAGGAAGCTAAGAACCTTGAAAAAAGGTTAAAGGAATTGCTAACTAGAAAAACCAGTTTAAAGAAAAACATAAATGACCTGTCAGAGCTGAAAAACACAGCACGAGAACTTCTTGAAGCATACACAAGTATCAAAGCTGAATTGATCAAGTGGAAGAAACAATCTCAGAGGTAGAAGATAGACTTAATGAAATAAAGTGTGAAAACAAGATTAGAGAAAAAAGAATGAAAAAGAACAAACAAAGCCTCCAAGAAATATTGGACTATGTGAAAAGACCAAACCTACGTTTGACTGGTGTACCTGAAAGTGATGGGGGAGAATGGAACCAAATTGGAAGACACTCTTCAGGATATTATCCAGAAGAACTTCCCCAACCTAGCAAGACAGGCCAACATTCAAATTCAGGAAATACAGAGAACACCACAAAGATACTCCTCAAGAAGAGCAACCCCAAGACACATAATTGTCGGATTCACCAAGGTTGAAATGAAGGAAAAAATGTTAAGGGAAGCCAGAAAAGTCAAGTTACCAACAAAGGGAAGTCCATCAGACTAACAGCGGATCTCTCGGCAGAAACCCTACAAGCCAGAAGAGAGTGGTGGCAATTATTCAACATTCTTAAAGAAAAGAATTTTCAACCCAGAATTTCATATCCAGCCAAACTAAGCTTCATAAGTGAAGGAGAAATGAAATCCTTTACAGACAAGCAAATGCTGAGAGATTTTGTTACCACCAGGCCTGCCTTACAAGAGCTCCTAAAGGAAGCACTAAATATGGAAAGAAAAAACCAGTACCAGCCACTGCAAAAACATACCAAACTGTAAAGACCATCAACACTCTGAAGAAACTGTATCAACTAACAGGCAAAATAACCAGCTAGCATCATAATGACAGGATCAAATTCACACATAAAAATATTAACCTTAAATGTAAATGGGCTAAATGCCCCAATTAAAAGACACAGACTGGCAAACTGGATAAAGAGTCAAGACCCATCAGTGTGCTGTATTCAGAAACCCATCTCACATGCAAAGACACACATAGGCTCAAAATAAAGGGATGGAGGAATATTTACCAAGCAAATGGAAAGCAAAAAAAAAAGAAAAAAAAAAAAAGCAGCGGTTGCAATCCTAGTCTCTGATAAAACAGACATTAAGCCAAAAAAGATTAAAAAAAAAAAAACAAGGAAGGTCATTATATCATGGTAACGGGATCAATGCATCAAGAAGAGCTAACTATCTTAAATATATATGCACCCAGTACAGAGGCACCCAGATTCATAAAGCAAGTTCTTAGAGACCTACAAGGAGATTTGACTCCCATACAACAATAGTGGGAGACTTTAACACCCCACTGTCAATATTAAACAGATCAATGAGACAGAAAATTAACAAGGATATTCAGGACTTGAATTCAGCTCTGGACCAAGTGGACTTAACAGACATCTACAGAACTCTCCACCCCAAATCAACAGAATATACATTCTTCTCAGCACCTCATCACACTTATTCTAAAATTGACCACATAATTGGAAGTAAAACACTCTTCAGCAAATGCAAAAGAACGGAAATCATAACAGTCTCTCAGACCACAGTGCAATCAAATTAGAACTCAGGATTAAGAAACTCACTCAAAACCACACAACTACATGGAAACTGAACAAACTGCTCCTGAATGATTACTGGGTAAATAACGAAATTAAGGCAGAAGTAAGTAAGTTCTTTGAAGTCAGTGAGAACAAAGACATAACGTACCAGAATCTCTGGGACACAGCTAAAGCAGTGTTTAGAGGGAAATTTATAGCACTAAATGTACACAGGAGAAAGCAGGAAAGATCTAAAATTGATGCCCTAACATCACAATTAAAAGAACTAGAGAAGCAAGAGCAAACAAATTCAAAAGCTAGAAGAAGAATAACTAAGATCAGAGCAGAACTGAAGGAGACAGAGACATGAAAAACCCTTCAAAAAATCCAAGAATCCAGGAGCTGGTTTTTTGAAAAGACTAGCAAGATGGATAGACCACTAGCCAGACTAATAAAGAAGAAAAAAGAGAAGAACCAAACAGACACAGTAAAAGATGATAAAGGGGATATCACCACTGATTCCACAGAAATACAAACTACATCAGAGAATACTATAAACAACTCTATGCAAAGAAACTAGAAAATCTAGAAGAAATGGATAAATTTCTGGACACATACACCCTCCCAAACTAAACCAGGAAGAAGTCGAATCCCTGAATAGACCAATAACAAGTTCTGAAATTGAGGCAGTAATTAATAGCCTAACAACAAAAAGAAAAGTCCAGGACCAGAAGGATTCACAGCCTTATTCTACAAGAGGTACAAGGAGGAGCTGGTACCATTCCTTCTGAAACTATTCCAAACAACAGAAAAAGAGGACTCCTCCCTAACTCATTGTATGAGTCCAATGTCATCCTGATACCAAAACCTGGCAGAGACACAACAAAAAAAGAAAATTTCAGGCCAATATCCCTGATGAACATTGATGCAAAAATCCTTAATAAAATACTGGCAAACTGAATCCAGCAGCACATCAAAAAGCTTATCCACCGTGATCAAGTCAGCTTCATCCCTGGGATGCAAGGCTGGTTCAACATACACAAATCAATAAACGTAATCCATCACATAAACAAAACCAATGACAAAAACCACATGATGATTTCAATAGATGCAGACAAGGCCTTTAATAAAATTCAACACCCCTTCATGCTAAAAACTGTCAATAAACTAGGTATTGATGGAACCTATCTCAAAATAATAAGAGCTATTTATGACAAACCCACAGCCAATATCATATTGAATGAGCAAAAGCTAGAAGCATTCCCTCTGAAAACTGGCACAAGATAAGGATGCCTTCTCTCACCATTCCAATTCAACACAGCATTGGAAGTTCTGGCCAAGGCAATCAGGCAAGAGAAAAAAATAAAGCATATTTAAATAGGAAGAGAGGAAGTCAAATTGTCTCTGTTTGCAGATGACATGATTGTATGTTTAGAAAACCCCATTGTCTCAGCCCAAAATTTCCTTAAGCTGATAAGCAACTTCAGCAAAGTCTCAGGATACAAAATCAATGTGCAAAAATCACAAGCATTCCTATACACCAACAACAGACAAACAGAGAGCCAAATCATGAGTGAACTCCCATTCACATTTGCTACAAAGAGAATAAAATACCTAGGAATATAACTTCCAAGGGATGTGAAGGACCTCTTCAAGGAGAACTACAAACCATTGCTCAAGGAAATAAGAGAAGACACAAACAAATGGAAAAACAGTCCATGCTCATGGATAGGAAGCATCAATATCATGAAAATGGCCATATTGCCCAAAGTAATTTATAGATTTAATGCTATCCCCATCAAGCTACCATTGACTTTCTTCACAGAATTAGAAAAAACTACTTTAAATTTTATATGGAACCAAAAAAGAGTCCATATAGCTAAGACAATCCTAAGCAAAAAGAACAAAGCTGGAGGCATCACACTACCTGACTGCAAACTATACTACAAGGCTACAGTAACCAAAACAGCATAGTACTGGTACAAAAACAGATACATAGACCAATAGAACAGAACAGAGGCCTCAGAAATAATGCCACATATCTACAACCATCTGATCTTTGACAAACCTGACACAAACAAGCAATAGGGAAAGGATTCCCTATTTAATAAATGGTGTTGGGAAAACCAGCTAGCCATATGCAGAAAACTGAAACTGAACCTCTTCCTTACACGTTATACAAAAATTAACTCAGGATGGATTAAACACTTAAACATAAGACCTAAAAACCATGAAAACTCTAGAAAAATAACTTAGGCAATACCATTCAGGACATAGGCATGGGCAAAGACCTCATGACTAAAACACTGAAAGCAATGGCAACAAAAGCCAATGGGATCTAATTAAACTAAAGAGCTTCTGCACAGCAAAAGAAACTATCATCAGAGTGAACAGGCAACTTACAGAATGGGAGAAAATTTTTGAAATCTATCCATCTGGCAAAGGGCTAATATCCAGAATCTACAAGGAATTTAAACAAATTGACAAGAAAAACACAAACAACTCCATCAAAAAGTGGGCAAAGGATATGAACAGACACTTATCAAAAGAAGACATCTATGCGGCCAACAATCTTATGAAGAAAAGCTCATCATCATTGGTCATTAGAGACATGCAAATCAAAACCACAATGAGATACCATCTCACACCAGTTAGAATGGCGATCATTAAAAAGTCAGGGAACAACAGACACTGGAGAGAATGTAGAGAAAAAGGAACACTTTTACACTGTTGGTGGGAGTGTAAATTAGTTCAACCATTGTGGAAGACAGTGTGGTGATTCCTCAAGGATCTAGAACCAGAAACATCATTTGACTCAGCAAACCCATTACTGGGTATATACCCAAAGGATCATAAATCGTTCTACTATAAAGACACATGCACACATATGTTTATTGCAGCACTATTCACAATAGCAAAGACTTGGAACCAACCCAAATACCCATCAATGATAGACTGGATAAAGAAAATGTGGTACATATACACCATGGAATACTATGCAGCCACAAAAAGGAATGAGATTGTTTCCTTTGCAGGGACATGGATGAAGCTGGAAACCATTATTCTCAGCAAACTAACACAGGAACAGAAAACCAAACACTGCATGTTCTCACTCATAAGTGAGAGTTGAAAAATGAGAACACATGGACACAGGGAGGGGAATATCACAAACTGGGGCCTGTTGAGGGGTAGGGAGATAGGGAAGGGATAGCATTAGGAGAAATACCTAATGTAGATGACGAGTTGATGGGTGCAGCAAACCACCATGGCACGTGTATACCTATGTAACAAACCTGCATGTTCTGCACACAAAGTATAATAAAAAAAATACCAAGGTACTATGAGGAGAATATAATACTAGTTGACATTTATCAAGAATGTAATCTCTCAGACATTGTGCTGGAGTCTCCACAGATAATCTTCCAAATGCTCACCAGCATTCATCCAGGGAGATACCATTATTTCCATTTTCTAGATTGGGAAACTGTGTCTCAGAGACATTAGGAGACCATAATCACACCTAAAAGTGATGGAGTTGAAAATTAAATAGAGGCCATTTTGACTCTAGAGTCTATATTATTTCCGCAAAGCCACATGAATAGCTAACCTTTTATAAAAATTTACACTTTATAAAACACTTTCCTATATGTCACGGATGGTAAAATATTGCAGTCAGACCATGACTCTGGGTTCAAATCCTGCATCCTGCACTTACTTGTTATGGCAACACAGGCAAGTTAACCTCTTTGGCCTCTTGAGTTCCTCATAGTTAAAAGGGGAAATGGTACTGATAGTAATAATGAAAGTCAACTATGAGGGTCATTTTGAAGATGAAATGAGACAATATACACATATACATTACATACCCTGGCCCACAATAAGTGCTTAAGAAATAATCACTGTATCATTATTCTGTCATTCACACAAGCTTTTAATGAGTATTTTCTATTATGATTTGACTTTCTAGAAACCTCTTAATGTTAGCAGCAGAACATATCCAAGTCACACAGCACCAAAGTATGCTAGTGGCAGTGAATCTGTACAGGTCTGCAGCAACCTCAATTCTTGCCTCCTCAGGAGAAAGAATTTAACTGAGGGGCATAAGGCAGGAGAGAAAGAGGCAGGCTTTAGAGCAGGAGTGAGTTTATTTTGAAAACTTTAGCGCAGGAATGAAAGGAGTACAGTACACTTCGAAGAAGGTCAAGCAGGCAACCTGAGAGATCAAGTGCACAGTTTGACTTTCAACTTGGGGTATTATACGTTGGCATGCTTCTGGGGTTGCATTACTTCTCCCCTTATTCTTCCCTTGGTGTGGGCTGTCCACATGTGTAGTGTGTTTACTGGAGTTGTACACATGCTCACTTGAGGCATTCTTCCCTTACCAGTCAAGTGTTCCTATAAGGTCATACACCAGTTAAGCTCAGCCATTTTGCCTCTTAGTAAGCATGCTTAACCCCACTTACCCAGCTCCTGAGATCTTAGCCACAAGATGCTTATCATCAGCCTTAGGTGTTTCTAACTATTGGAAGACTGCCTTTCCCTGGCACTGGCTGCAACTAATTATTATTTTAGAGAGGCAGTTCAACAACCACCTGACCATCAACTGATGCTTGCCTGACCCTCCTGGTTGGCAGTGGGAGGACCCTCTCCTGCCCTGCGCATATCTGACTAGCTACCTACTGTAACATTAATAAACACTTTCTAGAACCTTACTTGATGTGCTGAAGAATTCATGACATACAATAGGAGGTTTCTGCTCTCTAAAGAGGCTTGCTGTCTAATGAGAGAGATAGTATGTAATGCTCTTACTGTATGTTATGGGCTGAATTGTGCCTCTCTCCCAAATTCACACTTTGAAGTCCTCACCAGTACTTTAGGTTGTGACTACTTAGAGACAAGGGTCTTTAAAGAGGTAATTAAGGTTAGATAAGTTGGTACAGGTGGGTCCTAATCCAATATGCCTGGCATCCTCGTATGAAGAAGTTAGGACACAGATACACACACAGAGGGATGACCATGTGAGGGCACAGCAAGAAGGTGGCCATCAGCAAGACAGAGGCCTCAGAAGGAATCAAACCTGCCAGCACCTTGATCTCGGACTCCCAGCCTCCAAAACTATGAGAAAATAAATGTCTGTTGTTTAAGCCATCCAGTCTGTGGTATTTTTTATGGCAGCACAAGAAAACTAATACACTATACAAAATAGATTAAAACCATAAAGAAAAAGCAACCCGAAGCACAGGACTCCCAGTGAAATATAAACTTGCTTTACATTTCACACTATACAGTAATTGTTAACTTACTCCTCTGTATTATCCAGGCCATAGCTTCCCAACAGTAGGATATAGATACATTTGCGGTTGTGTCCGAGCACCTAGCACAATTCCTGGCCCTGAATAAATATTCATTACATAATAAAACCACAAGAAATTCTTTCTCCTTCCTTTCCTGTGTTTTACTGTAACCAAATAGTTGATGAAAAAACGTTTTTCTTTATACAAATACTGTAGCTAATAAATTGCAGAAGGAATGATAAAATGCAAAAATGGAGCTAGCACAATTATTAATGAATTATGAATGAGGAATTCACAAGGAAAGCATCATGGTGACACCATCTGAACTCATTGTTCAACCTCAGGACATATAAAAGGGGAAGAGGTAGATATTATGTGCCTCATAATATGATGCAACAAGAAGGATATAGCAACATCTCTAAAGTACAATTTCCTAACAATTGTACCAGTATCTAATTGAATCTGTAGATCTAACTACCCATTTGTAAAATGACAGGGAATAGAAGAACAAGTTAAAGACACAGCAAAATCCAGGAAGTGGGAGGGACATTTACAAAGAAATGACCTATTTTCTCTAACAAAAGAGTGGTATGGGTTGAAGGAACCCATTGTTATAAAACAAATGTGAACTTAAGACACATAACAATATATGCAGAATGTGCAACTTGTTCAGATTGTGACTCAATTTTACCAAGTGCAAAAATGAAATGTTTGAGACAATCTTGGAAACAGAAATATGAACTAAATTGTATTGATGAATGACTTAATTTTGCTTGGCATAATAATAGCATGGCCAATATATGGAAACAGAGATGTAAATTTAGATATGGATATAAATAGCCTTACCAGCTAATAATGCATCCTGAAGAATTTGTGAATAAAATGGCATGATGTTCGAGAATTTCTATAAGAGTTTTAAAACTAACTTGGTTCTCCTGAATGCTCTACCAAACATGGCAGGTTTTGTTTTATTTTTTTAAAATGAAGACATTGGTCACCCAATTCTCTTGGTTAAGAGGCTTGCCAAGGTCATTCAGTCAGGAAATGGCAAGACCAGCTTCTTGAAACTCCTACTCTGACTCTTAGAGCCAAGATGGCTACACCAGCTACAGAGCTTCTTTCCCCAACAGCTCCTCTAACCTCTTAGAACTGAGTTGCATTGTCCCTGACTAGATCATGAGCCATCTCTAAACCAAACCCAGGGATAATCTGAGTGGCTAGCCCTGGGTCACATGCCTGCCCTTGATGACGGAGCTGCACTCTGTTCTACCCAAATTATATAAACTCACAGATTATTTTAAAAGCCTCACAGTGAAGGGGAGGAGCCAAGATGGCCGAATAGGAACAGCTCCGGTCTACAGCTCCCAGCGTGAGGGACGCAGAGGACGGGTGATTTCTGCATTTCCATTTGAGGTACCGGGTTCATCTCACTAGGGAGTGCCAGACAGTGGGTGCAGGTCAGTGGGTGCGCGTACCATGCACGAGCCGAAGCAGGGCGAGGCATTGCCTCACCTGGGAAGCACAAGGGGTCAGGGAGTTCCCTTTCCGAGTCAAAGAAAGGGGTGACTGACGCACCTGGAAAATCGGGTCACTCCCACCCGAATATTGCGCTTTTCGGACCGGCTTAAAAAACACCGCACCACGAGATTATATGCCGCACCTGGCTTGGAGGGTCCTACGCCCACGGACTCTTGCTGATTGCTAGCACAGCAGTCTGAGATCAAACTGCAAGGCGGCAGCGAGGCTGGGGGAGGGGCGACTGCCGTTGCCCAGGCTTGCTTAGGTAAACAAAGCAGCCGGGAAGCTCGAACTGGGTGGAGCCCACCACAGCTCAAGGAGGCCTGCCTGCCTCTGCAGGCTCCACCTCGGGGGGCAGGGCACAGACAAACAAAAAGACAGCAGTAACCTCTGCAGACTTAAATGTCCCTGTCTGACAGCTTTGAAGAGAGCAGTGGTTCTCCCAGCACGCAGCTGGAGATCTGAGAACAGGCAGACTGCCTCCTCAAGTGGGTCCCTGACCCCTGACCCCCGAGCAGCCTAACTGGGAGGCACCCCCCAGCAGAGGCACACTGACACCTCACACAGCAGGGTATTCCAACAGACCTGCAGCTGAGGGTCCTGTCTGTTAGAAGGAAAACTAACAAACAGAAAGGACATCCACACCAAAAACCCATCTGTACATCACCATCATCAAAGACCAAAAGTAGATAAAACCACAAAGATGGGGAAAAAACAGAACAGAAAAACCGGAAATTCTAAAACGCAGAGTGCCTCTCCTCCTCCAAAGGAACGCAGTTCCTCACCAGCAACGGAACAAAGCTGGATGGAGAATGACTTTGATGAGCTGAGAGAAGAAGGCTTCAGACGATCAAATTACTCTGAGCTATGGGAGGACATCCAAACCAAAGGCAAAGAAGTTGAAAACTTTGAAAAAAATTTAGAATAATGTATAACTAGAATAACCAATACAGAGAAGTGCTTAAAGGAGGTGATGGAGCTGAAAACCAAGGCTCGAGAACTACATGAAGAATGCAAAAGCCTCAGGAGCCGATGCGATCAACTGGAAGAAAGGGTATCAGCAATGGAAGATGAAATGAATGAAATGAAGCGAGAAGGGAAGTTTAGAGAAAAAAGAATAAAAAGAAATGAGCAAAGCCTCCAAGAAATATGGGACTATGTGAAAAGACCAAATCTACGTCTGATTGGTGTACCCGAAAGTGATGGGGAGAATGGAACCAAGTTGGAAAACACTCTGAAGGATATTATCCAGGAGAACTTCCCCAATCTAGCAAGGCAGGCCAACGTTCAGATTCAGGAAATACAGAGAACGCCACAAAGATACTCCTCGAGAAGAGCAACTCCAAGACACATAATTGTCAGATTCACCAAAGTTGAAATGAAGGAAAAAATGTTAAGGGCAGCCAGAGAGAAAGGTCGGGATATCCTCAAAGGGAAGCCCATCAGACTAACAGCGGATCTCTCGGCAGAAACCCTACAAGCCAGAAGAGAGTGGTGGCAATTATTCAACATTCTTAAAGAAAAGAATTTTCAACCCAGAATTTCATATCCAGCCAAACTAAGCTTCATAAGTGAAGGAGAAATAAAATACTTTACAGACAAGCAAATGCTGAGAGATTTTGTCACCACCAGGCCTGCCCTAAAAGAGCTCCTGAAGGAAGCGCTAAACATGGAAAGGAACAACCGGTACCAGGCGCTGCAAAATCATGCCAAAATGTAAAGACCATCGAGACTAGGAAGAAACTACATCAACTAACAAGCAAAATCACTAGCTAACATCATAATGACAGGATCAAATTCACACATAAAAATATTAACTTTAAATGTAAATGGACTAAATGCTCCAATTAAAAGACACAGACTGGCAAATTGGATAAAGAGTCAAGACCCATCAATGTGCTGTATTCAGGAAACCCATCTCACGTGCAGAGACACACATAGGCTCAAAATAAAAGGATGGAGGAAGATCTACCAAGCAAATGGAAAACAAAAAAAGGCAGGGGTTGCAATCCTAGTCTCTGATAAAACAGACTTTAAACCAACAAAGATCAAAAGAGACAAAGAAGGCCATTACATAATGGTAAAGGGATCAATTTAACAAGAAGAGCTAACTATCCTAAATATATATGCACCCAATACAGGAGCACCCAGATTCATAAAGCAAGTCCTACAAAGTGACCTACAAAGAGACTTAGACTCCCACACATTAATAATGGGAGACTTTAACACCCCACTGTCAACATTAGACAGATCAATGAGACAGAAAGTCAACAAGGATACCCAGGAATTGAACTCAGCTCTGCACCAAGCAGACCTAATAGACATCTACAGAACTCTCCACCCCAAATCAACAGAATATACATTTTTTTCAGCACCACACCACACCTATTCCAAAATTGACCACATACTTGGAAGTAAAGCTCTCCTCAGCAAATGTAAAAGAACAGAGATTATAACAAACTATCTCTCAGACCACAGTGCAATCAAACTAGAACTCAGGATTAAGAATCTCGCTCAAAACCGCTCAACTACATGGAAACTGAACAACCTGCTCCTGAATGACTACTGGATACATAATGAAATGAAGGCAGAAATAAAGATGTTCTTTGAAACCAGCGAGAACAAAGACACAACATACCAGAATCTCTGGGATGCATTCAAAGCAGTGTGTAGAGGGAAATTTATAGCACTAAATGCCACAAGAGAAAGCAGGAAAGATCCAAAATTGACACCCTAACATCACAATTAAAAGAACTAAAAAAGCAAGCGCAAACACATTCAAAAGCTAGCAGAAGGCAAGAAATAACTAAAATCAGAGCAGAACTGAAGGAAATAGAGACACAAAAAACCCTTCAAAAAATTAATGAATCCAGGAGCTGGTTTTTTGAAAGGATCAATAAAATTGATAGACCGCTAGCAAGGCTAATAAAGAAAAAAAGAGAGAAGAATCAAATAGACACAATAAAAAATGATAAAGGGGATATCACCACCGATCCCACAGAAATACAAACTACCATCAGAGAATACTACAAACACCTCTATGCAAATAAACTAGAAAATCTAGAAGAAATGCATAAATTCCTCGACACATACACTCTCCCAAAACTAAACCAGGAAGAAGTTGAATCTCTGAATAGACCAATAACAGGATCTGAAATTGAGACAATAATTAATAGCCTACCAACCAAAAAAAAAGTCCAGACCAGATGGATTCACAGCCAAATTCTACCAGAGGTACAAAGAGGAGCTGGTACCATTCCTTCTGAAACTATTCCAATCAATAGAAAAAGAGGGAATCCTCCCTAATTCATTTTATGAGGCCAGCATCATCCTGATACCAAAGCCTGGCAGAGACACAACAAAAAAAGAGAATTTTAGACCAATATCCCTGATGAGCATCGATGCAAAAATCCTCAATAAAATACTGGCAAACCGAATCCAGCAGCACATCAAAAAGCTTATCCACCAAGATCAAGCGGGCTTCATCCCTGGGATGCAAGGCTGGTTCAACATCTGCAAATCAATAAATGTAATCCAGCATATAAACAGAACCAAAGACAAAAACCACATGATTATCTCAATAGATGCAGAAAAGGCCTGTGACAAAATTCAACAACCCTTCATGCTAAAAACTCTCAATAAATTAGATATTGATAGGACATATCTCAAAATAATAAGAGCTATTTATGACAAACCCACAGCCAATATCATACTGAATGGGCAAAAACTGGAAGCATTCCCTTTGAAAACTGGCACAAAACAGGGATGCCCTCTCTCACCACTCCTATTCAACACAGTGTTGGAAGTTCTGGCCAGGGCAATCAGGCAGGAGAAAGAAATAAAGGGTATTCAATTAGGAAAAGAGGAAGTCAAATTGTCCCTGTTTGCAGATGACATGATTGTGTATCTGGAAAACCTCATTGTCTCAGCCCAAAATCTCCTTAAGCTGATAAGCAACTTCAGCAAAGTCTCAGGATACAAAATCAATGTACAAAAATCACAAGCATTCTTATACACCAACAACAGACAAACAGAGAGCCAAATCATGAGTGAACTCCCATTCACAGTTGCTTCAAAGAGAATAAAATACCTAGGAATCCAACTTACAAGGGATGTGAAGGACCTCTTCAAGGAGAACTACAAACCACTGCTCAAGGAAATCAAAGAGGATACAAACAAATGGAAGAACATTCCATGCTCATGGGTAGGAAGAATCAATATCGTGAAAATGGCCATACCACCCAAGGTAATTTACAGATTCAATGCCATCCCCATCAAGCTACCAATGACTTTCTTCACAGAATTGGAAAAAACTACTTTAAAGTTCATATGGAACCAAAAAAGAGCCCGCATCGCCAAGGCAATCATAAGGCAAAAGAACAAAGCTGGAGGCATCACACTACCTGACTTCAAACTATACTACAAGGCTACAGTAACCAAAACAGCATGGTACTGGTACCAAAACAGAGATATAGATCAATGGAACAGAACAGAGCCCTCAGAAATAATGCAGCATATCTACAACTATCTGATCTTTGACAAACCTGAGAAAAACAAGAAATGGGGAAAGGATTCCCTATTTAATAAATGGTGCTGGGAAAACTGGCTAGCCATATGTAGAAAGCTGAAACTGGATCCCTTCCTTACACCTTATACAAAAATCAATTCAAGATGGATTAAAGACTTAAACGTTAGACATAAAACCATAAAACCCTAGAAGAAAACCTAGGCATTACCATTCAGGACATAGGCATGGGCAAGGACTTCATGTCCGAAACACCAAAAGCAATGGCAACAAAAGACAAAATTGACAAATGGGATCTAATTAAACTAAAGAGCTTCTGCACAGCAAAAGAAACTACCATCAGAGTGAACAGGCACCCTACAAAATGGGAGAAAATTTTCGCAACCTACTCATCTGACAAAGAGCTAATATCCAGAATCTACAATGAACTCCAACAAATTTACAAGAAAAAAACAAACAACCCCATCAAAAAGTGGGCGAAGGACATGAACAGACACTTCTCAAAAGAAGACATTTATGCAGCCAAAAAACACATGAAAAAATGCTCATCATCACTGGCCATCAGAGAAATGCAAATCAAAACCAGAATGAGATACCATCTCACACCAGTTAGAGTGGCAATCATTAAAAAGTCAGGAAACAACAGATGCTGGAGAGGATGTGGAGAAATAGGAACACTTTTACACTGTTGGTGGGACTGTAAACTAGTTCAACCATTGTGGAAGTCAGTGTGGCGATTCCTCAGGGATCTAAAACTAGAAATACCATTTGACCCAGCCATCCCATTACTGGGTATATACCCAAAGGACTATAAATCATGCTGCTATAAAGACACATGCACACGTATGTTTATTGTGGCATTATTCACAATAGCAAAGACTTGGAACCAACCCAAATGTCCAATAATGATAGACTGGATTAAGAAAATGTGGCACATATACACCATGGAATACTATGCAGCCATAAAAAATGATGAGTTCATGTCCTTTGTAGGGACATGGATGAAATTGGAAATCATCATTCTCAGTAAACTATCGCAAGAACAAAAAACCAAACACTGCATATTCTCACTCATAGGTGGGAACTGAACAATGAGATCACATGGACACAGGAAGAGGAATATCACACGCTGGGGACTGTGGTGGGGTCGGGGGAGGGGGGAGGGATAGCATTGGGAGATATACCTAATGCTAGATGACGAGTTAGTGGGTGCAGCACACCAGCATGGCACATGTATACATATGTAACTAACCTGCACAATGTGCACATGTACGCTAAAACTTAAAGTATAATAAAAAAATAAAATAAAATAAAATAAATAAATAAAAGCCTCACAGATACCAAAAAAAAAAAAAAAAAAAAAAGAAACTCCTACTCTGGTGCAAGTGGGTACTTCACCATAGACCCCTAACTTCAAGAAAGCAAAATAGACGCATAAATTTTAAATTAACATTTGTTATTATGCAAATAGTCTTGTTGAGTGTTTTATGTGCACTACAAATCCATGAGATATGTGCTTTTAGACCCATTTTGCAGATAAACCAGAACTCAAAGATGTTATGTGATTTGTCAAGAGTGGCACAGAATTAAAACCCAGATTGGCCTAACTCCATTTCAAATGAGGTACAACACCACACCGTGGCTCCCCTCTTGGAGAATTACAATGTACAGTAGCTTAGGCCAAGTTCTACAGTGAAAAAAAAAGTGTTTAAATTCCTTCACCAATCATTTCTCAACCTCTGACCATGGAACCTTTCTTTTACACTTAGCATCTATTAAGTTTGCATATAACCACAGAGTACACAAGAATTGCTTCAAGCTAATAATGGGTGAAATCTTACTATATTTCTGCTATGTTTGAATTTGGGAATATTAACACATGCCATAATTATTTTTAAAAAATAAACTACTTTTCATTTACCTAGCAAACAGTTAACTACCTATGGCCAGCATCATTTTTAATTGATAAGCACCAACTTTACTCTGTCAAAAAGCAAATATTGTTTCCTCCCTAGTTGGACTCCTAAGTATTATATTTTCCAAACAGCCCATGAGGTTTGAGGCACCCTTCCCCAACCCAAGCATATTAGAAAGTTTATTTCCTAGACTACTGGACAGAGAAGGGGGAGGAAATTTACATTTTACCAAATAATCTCATGATTTAATGCCACTGGTAATACTAATACAAGTTCAAGCCTTTTGGCCAAATTTTGCAAAAATGGTTGAAATATTTTTTTCCTGTCGATATAAAACCTTCAAACTGAAACTGATCATTAAAAGGAAAACTAAGTAACAATTTCAAACTGGCCTATTTTAAGAAATGCCTTCCTCACATAACCAAAAATTTCTCACCTCTTCCTGCCCACCATGGGTATTTTTCCACTCATTTCTGAACTCGGATATCTCTGTGGATCTGACACACAGGAGCAGCAGCCTCCAAGGCAATGAGCAGCACCTAATGGAGTCAGGTTTGAATGACTGAAGCCCACAAAGGGAGAGTCCTCAAAAGCAGCAGTGGTGAGCTGAGGACTGGGGACAATAGAAAGCAAGCTGTCTTCAAGATGTGCAGAACAACATCCTTTCTCTCTCAGGTCTGGCATCATATTCAGATGAGCAAATGTGAAAACAGGAAATGTGTTCTCAAATGACAGAAACTTCTCTTGAGAAAAGGGGAAGTGTGAATCCAGTTTAAAGAAAACTCAATCATTAAAGACAAATTATTTTCTCTTAGAAATCAAAAATCTAGCCCCAGCATGGTGGCTCATCTCTGTAATCCCAACATTTTGGGAAGTCAAGGCTGAAGTACAGATTGAGGCCAGGCATTCAAGACCAGCCTGGTCAACATAGTGAGACCTCATCTCTACAAAAAAATTTAAAAATTAGCTAGGCTTGGTGGTGTGCACCTGTAGTCCCAGCTACTCAGGAGGCTGAAGTGGGAGGATCACTTGAGCCCAGGAGTTTAAAGTTACAGTGAGCTATGATCACACCACTGCACTCCAGCCTGAGTGGCAGAGAAAGGCTCCATCTCAAAAATAAATAAGTAAATAAAGTCTGAAATTCCACATTATGAAATCTGACATACATACATTTCTCTAGATATTTATAATGAGATAATGTCAGCAACTAACCATAACTAATGTTCATGCATGGCTGTTATTTCTTCACAAAAGCAAGGAGCGATACGATTGATGATCTCACATCTACTTTTTGATCTCACAATCTTACGGGGATGACAGTTCTGTGAACAATGACGTTTGCATGCACTGGACAGCACAGATGTGCAAGTCAACAACAGGTTGCTGGTTTGGGTACCTAAGATCTTCGCAGGCTGAAGACAAGGAGGCTTCCCTTGCAAAGCCCTATCATTGACATTCCAACCTCACAAATGGGGCCTTAGCCTATTCTATCATTGCACCTTCCTGCTGCAATCTAAATCAGCACTCCATTCTGCCAGTTCCCTGTACATCCTGGCATAGCCTCTTTTATTCCCATCCTGATATACACTGCATTATCATTTTTCAACAAATCACCAAATCTCAGGGCTTTATGATCAGAACAATGTAGATAATAAAACTCTTAAATTAACAAATAATACATTAAGCGCTTTCTATGTGTCAGACACTGCACTACATGCTTTCCATGTATCATACATAGATCTTTTTAAAAAGAAAAGAGTAAATGAATGAAAGAATATATGTATTAAAGAGTAAAAAAAATTAATTTTTCAAACTGTTTAAAAGGGAAATAACCTTGGAAATTATACATTCTCAATCATTCATTCAACAAATATTTATTTTATTTAATGCCTATTAGACACTAGGTTTTGCCCTACATTCTGAGAACTAAGTAGTAAACACGGCAGGTGCTCTAAGCAGCTTACAGTCAAATGGAGAAAGTTACCACATGGAAGACGGGAAAAAAAGGAACTGAAGTCTTGAGTTTCAGGCTAGTAAGGAGGTGCATGGCTAGTAACTTCTATATATTAGAATAAACTGAAATCAAACAGCACAAGTTTCATCTTTTCAAACACCTACACAGAGAATGTTAATTATTGCTGAATATTTTGTCAAGATAATTTTATTGCTTTTCTACGACTAACAAGTGCCAGAAATTTTATGTTGTAGAGAAGAACAACAAAGGCAGAAGAGGAAACTGATACAGAATGAGCCCTCAACCAGTGGCCCAGAACTCTGCCAGATATTTTTATGTTCATTATCTTGGTCAATATCCAGTGACCTTCTAAGCCTGATGTTTCCTCCATGTTGCAAATAAGGAAAATTAGTGCACTCTAGAGTTTAGGTAACTTTTCTGAGACAATCTGCTAGTGGGTGGCAGAGATGAGATTAAATCCCAGGACTCTCACTCCAAACTCCCCATTGGAGACTATTGTGAATGGAAGAGCACAAGCCTCATCTAACCCTCAGCAATTCTGATTTTTGCCATGCCAAAAATATAAATTTTTAGGTGAAATCTCTTCATTTTTTCAATTAGCAATAATTCAAAAAATTAAAAATTCTCTGCAGGTCAAACAAAACATATCTGTAATTAAATGTTGAAGTCATTCATTTGAAACCTCTGCTTGGCAGTGTTTTTCTCCACTGAGTTTAGCCAGCTGAGCAGGGTTGGCACATACCATAAAGGGTAGAAAAAGGCTGTGCAAGAAGTCATGTTGAGTTGAGATCAGACATAAGCTTATTTTCTTCAAGGCATAGAAAGAGAAAGAGACTAAGCACTTTATAGATGATATCAAATTGGATGGGTGACACTAAGTCCTCGAAACGTAAAACTGAAATTTTAATTAGCTATTTCCAGATTTCATGTTGCACATTTTTTTAACATTTTAATGTTTCTAAAACCTGTATTTATCATCAATGTCAAATAAAAATTCTTTACCTGTGCCATTTGTCTCCTTTTCTTTGGTTATATATGCCAAAGTTTTATTTTATTGTTTTTTACAAAAATTAATTTTTGGTTTTATGGATCAACTTTGCTGTTTGTTACCCATTTTAATAATTTATGTTATCTTTACTAATTATAATTATTAATGCCAACTTTGTTATTAATTTGCTAGCTTCTTAAGTTGAAAGCTTAGTTCATTTTTATACTATTTGTTGTTTCTAAATAAAATACATGTAAAGGTCTACATTTTTCCCTGAGCCCCACGTGGGATTCATGGGTTTCACAGGTTCTAATACAAAGGGCTTTCTTCTGTTATTTTTTAGTTCTTAGTTTGTAACTTCTAAATAAAAATTTAAAGTAAAATTAGAAGCATTTTAAACATCATTTATTGTATAATTCTGTCATCAATGTGGCTTATATAATACCGACTTTTTGAAATGCATTAAAATATCCTTTCTGTCTAGTATGAGTTAACTTGGTAAAACTTTTCAAGCATATTTTTAAATAATGTTATTCTCCATTTGTATTTGTATTTGCACACAGTCACATGTGTAAGTATGTACCTGCAAATTGTGTTAGTTCTATCTTCTGTGGCCATACTCATGTTTGTCTAATTGATTCATTTGTTTCTGAAAGATGTGTCTTGAAAACTTAACTAGAATTTGAATTAGTTTCTCCATATAAGATTGTACATATACTTGCACAAATAAGCAAGTTCTCTTCTTCTTTATAAGTTTTTGATGTATACATCAAAGTTATGTTGACTGTCATACCTTCTTTAGTAATTAATCCTTTTATCAATATCATATTTCCCCTTTCTTCTTTTCTTTAAATGTCTTTTGCATTGAAATCTATTTTACCTTAAATTAATATTGCTATACAAGCTTTGATATATTTCTTCTACTTCTTAAATATATTTTTGATATTTTAAATATAAAATACTTGATTATAAAAAAGAACATACGTAGATATCCATAAGTAATAAACCATAAACATAAACATACATGAACCCACAATCCAAAGTATAAAAAAACTGTTACGAATCATGTTGATACTTCCTGTGTACTGCTTGCCAATCTGTACTCATCCCCCATACCGTCTCTCAGGGGTAGACGCTATGTGAGTTTGTTCCTTATCATTCTCTTCTCCCTCAACCTGTGGGATCTGACACTGTCTCCAGGTAGATGATGTCAGAATTGAATTGGAGGAAACCCAGCTGGTGTCCACTGCAGAACTGATTGCTTGTTTGTTGGTGGGGAAAAATCCCACGTTTTGTCTGTGTTGATTGTTGTGGTGTGAGAGCAGAGGAAAAACAGTTTTTTCAACTCAATACCATATAATATCAAATTGTTTCTCCAACTAGTTGTACAAATTTGTACTGGTTCTAATTGTTCCATGTCCTCACCAACATTCCATTTACTCTTTTTTGGGTTTTTGGGGGGTTTTTGGTGTGCCTGCTGCTATCTCATTTTGAATTTAATTTGCATTTCCTTGATTTACTAATGAGAACAAGTATCTTCACTTGCTGACTGGCCATCAGCATAGGTTATTCTGTAAAATGCTTGTGCAAGTCCTTTCTCATTTTCCTGTTGTGGTTTGCTTTTTTTATAAAGAGTTATTTATGTGCCCTAGATATTCTTTCTGGATTATATGTATTGCAAATACTCTCTCCCATTTGGAGCTTTCCCATTATTTTGTTTTCCTTATGATGCTTAAACGAATGGAATCAATTCTTTAAGTACTATACTTATCAAGACCTTTCTTTATAGTTAGTACTCTTTGGGTCTTGTTTTTGAAAATCTTCCCTCATTTAAGGTCATGAAGATGTTCTTCTATATTGTCTTTTATAAATGTTAGAGATTTGTCATTTTTATTTAAGTCTCTTATTGCTCTTGAATTGGTTTTTGTATATGGCAAGAGGCGAAAGTCAACTTCCTTTTTTTCAATGGGATAGCACCATTTACAGATAAGTCCATAGTTTCATCACCAATCTATGGTAATGGTAATAGTACTAATAACAATAACAATAGCAGCTAACTTTATACACTGTTTACTACATGCCAGTCACAGTTCTAAGCAATTTACATATTATGCCAGCTCTCTAATATGATTTGGTATAAAGAAAAACCTATCAGAGCAACAGCATATTTCTCAGCAGAAACCCTACGAGCTAGAAGGGATTGGGGTCCTATTTTTAGCCTCCTTAAACAAAGCAATTATCAGCAAAGAATTTTGAATCCAGTGAAACTAAGCTTCATAAATGAAAAAAAGATACAGTCTTCCAGACAAACAAATGCTGAGAGAATTCACCAATAACAAACCAGCACTACAAACCACTAAAAGGAACTCTAAATCTCGAAACAAATCCTTGAAATACACCAAAATAGAACCTCCTTAAAGCATAAATCTCACAGGACCTATATAACAATAACACAATTTTAAAAAAGGTATTCAGGCAACAAATAGCATAATGAATAGAATAGTACCTCACATCTCAATACTTACATTGAATGTAAATAGCCTAAATGCTCCACTTAAAAGATATGGAATGGAAGAAGTGATAAGATTTCATCAACCAAGTTTCTGCTGTCTTCAGGAGACTCAACTAAAACATAAGGACTCACATAAACTTAAGGTAAAGGGGTGGAGAAAGATATCCATGCAAATGGACACCAAAAGTGAGCAGAAGTGGTTATTCTTATATCAGAAAAAAACAGACTTTAAAGCAACAACAGTTTAAAAAGACAAAGAGGGACATTATACAATGATAAAAGGACTAGTCCAACAGGAAAATATCACAATCCTAAATACATATGCACGTAACATTGGAGTTCCTAAATTTATAAAACAATTACTACTAGGCCTAAGAAATGAGATAGATGGCAACACAACAATAGTGGGAGACTTTAATACTCCATTGACAGCATTAGACATGTCATCAAGACAGAAAGTCAACAAAGAAACAATGGACTTAAACTATACCCTAGAACAAATGGACTTAACAGATATTTGCAGAACATTCTATGCAACAACTGCAGAATATACATTCTGGTCATCAGCACATGGAACATTCTCCAAGATAGACCATGTGATAGGGCACAAAAAAGTCTCAGTAAATTTAAGAAAATCAAAATTATATAGAGTACTCTCTCAGACCACAGTGGAATAAAATTGGAAATCAACTCCAAAAGGAATCCTCAAAATCATGCTAATGCATGGAAATTAAATAACCTGCTCCTGAATGATCACTGGGTCAACAATGAAATCAAGATGGAAGGTAAGGTAATAAAAGCCATCTATGACAAACCCACAGCCAACATTATACTGAATGAGGAAAAATTGAAAGCATTTCCCCTGAGAATCGGAACAAGACAAGGATTGTCCACTCACCACTTCTATTCAACATAGTACTAGAAGTCCTAGCCAGAGAAATCAGACAACAAAAAGAAATCGAGGGCATCCAAACTGGTAAAAAGGAAGTCAAACTGTCACTGTTTGCTGATGATATAATCATACACCTAGAAAATCCTAAAGAACCATCCAAAAAGCTCTTAAAACTGGCAAATGAATTCAGCAAAATTTCAGAATACAAAATTCATGTACACAAATGAGTAGCTCTGCTATACACCAACAGTGACCAAGCTGAGAATCAAATCAAGAACTCAACCCCTTTTACAACAGCTGCAAAAAAAATAATAAAATGCTTAGGAATATACCTAATCAAGGAGGTGAAAGACCTGTATAAGGAAAACTACAAAACGCTGCTGAAAAAATCATAGATGACACCAACAAATGGGAGCACATCCCATGCTCATGGATGAGTAGAATCAATATTGTGAAAACGACCATACTGCCAAAAGCAATCACAAATTCAATGCAATTCCCATCAAAATACTACCATCATTCTTCACAGAACTAGAAAAAAACAATATTATAATTCATGTGGAACCAAAAAAGAGCCCACATAGACAAAGCAAGACTAAGCAAAAAGGACAAATCTGGAGGCATCACATTACCCAACGTCAAACTATACTATAATGCCACAGTCACCAAAACAGCATGACTGGTATAAAAATAGGCACACAGACCAATGGAACAGAATAGAAAACCCAGAGATAAAGCCAAATGCTTATAGCCAACTGACCTTCAACAAAGCAAACAAAAACATGAAGTCGGGAAAGGATACCCTATTCAACAAATGGTGCTGGGATAATTGGCAAGCCACATATAGAAGAATGAAACTGGATCCCCACCTCTTACCTTATACAAAAATCAACTCAAGATGGGTCAAAGACTTAAATCTAAGACCTGAAACCATAAAGATTCTAGAAGACAACATTGGAAAAATCCTTCTAGACATTGGCTTAGACAAAGACTTCATGACCAAGAACGCAAAAGCAAATGCAACAAAAACAAAGATAAATACATGGGGCTTAAACTAAAAAGCTTCTGCAGAGCAAAAGAAATAATCAGCAGAGTTAAGAGAAAACCCACAGAGTGAGAGAAAATCTTCACAATCCATACATGTGACAAAGGACTAATATCCAGAATCTACAAAGAACTCAAATAAATCAGCAAGAAAACACGATCTCATCAAAATGTGGGATAACGACATGAACAGACAGTTCTCAAAAGAAGATATACAATTGGCCAACAAGCATATAGAAAAATGCTCAACATCACTAATTATCAGGGAAATGCAGATCAAAATCACAATGCGATACCACCTCACTCCTGCATGAATGGCCATAATGAAAAAATTAAAAAAAAAATAGATGTTGGTGTGGATGTGGTAAAAAGAGAACACTTTTACACTGTTGGTGGGAATGTAAACTATTAATAGTACAACCACAGTATACAACACAGTGTGGAGATTCCTTAAAGAACTAAAACTAGATCTACCATTTGATCCAGCAATCCCACTACTAGGTGCCTACCCAGAGGAAAATAAGTCATTATATGAAAAAGATACTTGCACACACATGTTTATAGCAGCACAATTTGCAATTGCAAAAATACAGAAGCAGCCCAAATGCCCATCAATCAATGAGTGGATAAAGAAAATATGATAGATAGATAGATAGATAGATAGATAGATAGATAGATAGATAGATAGACAGACACCATGGAATACTACGCAACCATAAAAAGGAAAAAAATAATGGCATTTGCAGAAACCTGGATGGAATCAGAGACTATTATTCTAAGTGAAGTAACTCAGGAATGGAAAAACCAAACATTGTATGTTCTCAATCATAATTGGGAGCTAAGCTATCAGGACACAAAGGCATAAGAATGATACAATGGACTTTGGGGACTTGGGGGGAAGGTTGGGAGAGGGGTGAGGGATAAAAGACTACACATAGAGTACAGTGTATACCACTTGTGTGATGGATGCACCAAAATCTCAGAAATCACCACTAAAGAACTTATTCATGTAACCAAACACCCCCTGTTCCCCAAAAACATATTGAAATAAAAAATAAATTTAAAAAATAGACATGATAACAATCACTTATTAAGCACTTGAAAAAAATAAGATAATAATATGTTTTGGTGTGTAATACCAGCTCTGTGAGATGTCAAGTTTCCATATTCATGGCTCTTTCTTCCATTCCATTGGGCTATTTCTCTATAATCGTGTTTTAATTGCTACCTATTTATAACAATTCTTGATATCTAATAAGGCAATTCTCCCTCCCCTAATTTATTTTTCTTCAGGAGTATCCTGGTCATTCCTGACTTTTTGTTCTCCCATCTAAACTTTAGAATTTTTTTCTAGTTCCATTTGAAAAAAAAAAAAAAGCATTCACTCAAGTGAAAATGCACGAACTCTAAAATTAATGGGAAGAATGACCATCTTTATAATAGTAAGTCTTCAAATATAAATATATTTTATTTTTTCTACTTTTTAAATTTTATTTAATGTATCTTAATATAAGGTTTTATAATTTTTGCATAAAAGTTATATCTTTTAATTTTTTAGGTTTTGTAAATGATATCTTGTATTATTGAATTTTCTGTTTCTTGCTGTTATATGAACTGGAATTAATTGTATATATTGATTAGGTATTTAGATTAAATATATTAGGTTTAGGTTTTCACCTTAGATTTAGATTTCTACCTTAATCTATTAGTGTGGTAAATGAATTGATTTCTTCATGTTAATCTGCCCTTGCATCCCTAAGATAAACTTAACATGATAGATTTGGTTTACTAGATTTGTGTTTAGGATTTTTGCATCAATGTCCACCAGTGAAATTGCCTATAACTTTCCTTTTCTGCACTGTCCTTTTAATTTTTGATATCAAGATTATGTACTAATTGATTTTCTAATGTTAATCTCCTCTTGCTTTACTGGGATAAACTTGGTGTTCTTGATTTATTTACTAATATTTTGGATCAGTATTTTCTATCAGTGTTCATGAAATTGTTCTATAACTTTTCTCTCATGTTTTCTTTCATTGGTTTTGATATCAAGATTATCCTTGCATGACAAATAATTTGAGGTGAAGGGGCAGTGCATCAGTTATCTATTGATGCATTCACAGCATTGTTCCACAGCAATTCTAAAATCTTACTGAGCAATTGTTGCCAGGTCAACCCCACGGTCTCCCCTAAGAAGGTGTCCTTAATTAGACTCCAGTTTTACTCTCCAGGAGTGGCTCCCAATCTGCTGTTCTTCATGGTTTTTTGCTCCACCCACTGGTTCTACCATGAATCTTGGCTCTGTCCTTTGAGATGTGATTCCTTTTTCATCACAGCCTAGGTTTCTTGAAATAAAAGTAGATTGCACTGGCAGCTGAGTAAGTTTCTCAGCCTGCTTTCAGTCCATAGAAAGTTGGGGGCCCAGAGGCCATTTTGGAATTTTACCAATCTCAGACTATTCAATTTCAGGTTGATAAAGCTTTTTTCATACAACTCACTTAAGAACTTCCTGGACCTTTTATACATCTGATTCCATTTAAATGTATTTGCTGAAAATTATACGCACAGTTGTTTTCAAGACATCTCCCTCTTCCTCTCTCTATATCATTGTCACTTTGGGTGTGTCAGACTGCTGTAGGACACCGCAATGCTGAGGTCTCAACAAATAGTTGAGCACAACTTCAAATTTATCTATGCCTCCAGGTTCCATTTTATTTTAAATACCATTTGCCAAATGGAGACAATATTTTCTATTTTCTTTTTCTTTTCTTTCATTTTATTTATTTATTTGTTTATTTATTTGAGACAGGGTCTCACTCTGTTGCCCAGGCTGGAGCGCAGAAGCACAATCATAGCTCACTACAGCCTCAACCTCCTAGCCTCAAGCAATGCTCCCACCTCAGCCTCCCAAGTAGCTGTGACCACAAGTGTGCCCACCTATTTTTTATTTTTTGTAGAGACAGGTCTGTCTACGTTCCCAAGGCTAGTCTTCTGCTCCTGGGTTCAAGGGATCCTAGCACCGCACCCTCCCAAAGTGCTGGAATAACAGGCATGAGCTGCTGCACCCAGCCCATTTTATTTTCTAACCCAGCCAATTCTGGTCTCTTTATGTGCCCTATAAATTATGCTTGCAAACTGGCCAGTTCTTTCTTAAACTCATGTATTTCTTGCCATAGCATATTATCTACAGTTTGGGGCAATCAGCTGACTCTCCAACATTCTGCCTGGAAACAAACTTAGCCAAACCCAAACATTTGTTGGGTCTATTTTCCCCTTAGGAAAGTTAATTCAGGCAATAGTATTGCCAGTTGCTTTATTACATAGCATATGTGACCCTTATCCAGCCTCCAATAACAATGTTATCACCACTTTTCCAGGTTTTGCAGCCAGTTTGCTTGCCATTTTCCCAGCCTCTGCTTGTAGCCCAGTTCCAAAACCAATATTACATACTTTAGGTTTTTGTTATAACAGCACTCAATTTCTAGGTACCAATTTTTCCATCAGGTGACTATGGCTATGTAACAAACCACCCTAAAACGCAATGACTTAAAACAATAAGCCTTTATTATTGCTCGGGAGTTCATGGGTCCACTGAGAATTTCTGTTGATTTAGGCCAGATGAAGCCAAACTTATCCAAGCTCACTGATAGGTCTGTGCTTAACAGATAAATCAGCTGAGGACCAGATCATCTAGGATGTCCTTACTCGCCTGACCAGCAGTTGTTTGGCTATGGGCTGAAGTGGCAGGGATGACTGGATTACAGGTTTTTCACATCTAATAGGCTAGCCTGGGGTTGTTTGCATGATGGTGTCAGGATTCCAAAAGCATGGAAGCATGAAAGAGCTCTGGAGGCACAGGCTGACCACTAGCACACCATCACTTCCACCACATTCTAATCACATAAAATCATAAATCACATAAAATCGTAAATCACATAAATCATAAAACTGAGTCAGATGCAAGAATTAAGGAAATAGATTCCACCTCTCGATAGGAGAAGCTACAAAGTCATATGGCAAATGGCATAGATTTAGGAAGGAATGAACAATTAGAAAAGGAAATATTTTCCACCCCATTACTGGGTATATACCCAAAGGGTTATAAATCATGCTACTATAAAGACACATGTACATGTATGTTTATTGCAGCACTATTCACAATAGCAAAGACTTGGAACCAACCCAAATGTCCATCAATGATAGACTGGATTAAGAAAATGTGGCACATATATACCATGGAATACTATGCAGCCATAAAAAAGGATGAGTTCATGTCCTTTGCAGGGACATGGATGAAGCTGGAAACCATCATTCTCAGCAAACTCTCACAAGGACAAAAAACCAAACACCAAATGTTCTCACTCATAGGTGGGAATTGAACAATGAGAACACTTGGACACAGGAAGAGGAACATCACACACTGGGGCCTGTCATGGGGTGGGGGGAGCGGGGAGGGATAGCATTAGGAGATATACCTAATGTAAATGACGAGTTAATGGGTGCAGCACACCAACATGGCACATGTATACATATGTAACAAACTTGCATGTCGTGCACATGTACCCTAGAACTTATAGTATATCAAAAAAAAAAAGAAAAGGAAATTTTTTTGCAATCAATTTGATAATTCTAAATTTTCTGGAGAAGTTTGCCTAGGACTAGAATAATCAATTCTCTCAATGCACAGTATAACTCTCCCATAAAAGAAGTGTTAACTCCCTGTTAATGGACTTATTAAAGCATTAATTTTATTTCTTTAATGACTATGCAGGTTTTCTATTTCTTCTTAGATTATTATTTATCTTATATAAAGGTTTATATAAAGTTATATTTATATAAGAGGTTTTTAACGTTATATTATTCTAGAATTTTTTCATTCTACCAGTTTTCAAATTTATTAACATAAAGTTTTAATACATCTTTGTCATACTCATCTCTGTGTCTGTAATTATGTCTTATTTTTCATTCATAATATTATTTGCTTGCACCTTCAGTCTTTCATTTATTCTTTCCTTGTTTCTATTTTTTATCAACTTTGGCAAAGTTTTTGTTGTTGTATTCATCTTTTCAAAAATCTAACTTTTGGTTTAATGAGCTTTTCTGTTTATTTTCTATGTCATTAATTTCTGCTCTTATCTTTATCTCTCCCTAATAACCTTTTGCTCCTTATTTCCCTAATAATATTAATTATATACGTTGTAAAGCCTTGCTGTCATGGCTTTATTCGCTGTTTCCTCGGATGTAAATTCTTCTAATATTCATTAAGCTTTTAAACTCCTCTTCTTGATTGCAATTTTTTTCCAATATTGAGTGACTTTTGATTTTTTCACTCAACTTAATAAATCAGATTTCCTGTTAAATTACTTTCTGTACTTGTTCCACACAATGGCTTATCTCTTAAACATATAGCTTCTTTCTTCTGTCTTGTTCACCACCTTGTCTCTCTAACAAAACTCCTTTACTCAACATAAGCACTTAGAGGCAGGACAGACCCAATAAAAAGAGAGAAAACACCAATTTTAAACACCTGGATAATTGTTACTGTGATATCTCATCTAACCACCCTACCATCAACCATGCACTCACCTTTTGTAGCCACAGTCCATCGTACAAGGTCCTGAGCTATAGTTTCCTTAATCTGATCCCATATGCTTTGCTTCTTTTTAGAATTCTTCCCTGCTCTGGTCCTCTATAATTTATTCTCCTTATTTTTGAAGATGGTTACATATTTATATTGTTTCTTAAATTTCTAGGCATTTATTTCAGGAGAGGAAGTCTATAGTTTGTGCTCAGTTCTTCTTAAAACACAAGCCACCACAGCTTTCCTAGGAATGCCAGAATTTCACTAAACTGGAGTTTCAACAGGACTTGAAAACCTCATTTCAGAATTAGAACAGGGAATACTAATCAAAATTCATGATAATAATCTTAAGTCATTAAGAAAGATGTTTTAAATCTTTCTTATATTCTACTGAAAAAGACAGGAAACTATGTAATACATCTTGGAAAGCATCCTATTTCTCTTTTTATTTGTGATATTTCCATCTTCCCTATTCCCACCAGCCAAAAATATATTCAAATTTCTGTATCCAAAAAAGACCTTATCTACTTTTTCCTCAGGTTTCTGTCACCAGTTCTTTCCTTCTTATCATCACCAGACTTCATAAGAGTTGCTGAAAGTTACTTCACAATTCTATCCCTAGCCCATTGGATGTTGGTTTCTGCTTCTACTGTCTTGCTGAAACTTGTCTTAAATGTCATCAAAAACTGCCCAGTTGCCAAAATCATCAGCTTGTTTCTTGGTTTATTTCATTCCATCTTTGTTTCCACTGATAATTCCTATCCAGTTAGGATTCATAGCTTTTCTTCTTTGTGTTCACAGCATGTCACAACAATCTTGAGACTTTGAACAGCACGTGTCTCACACTCCTGTATATATTTACCCAGCATTATATCTTACTAGGTAAGTGACTTTTAGCCAGTGCCTTCACCTTTTAGTTATTCACTTTCTATTCCCTAAATGAGGATACAATGAGTTACTTTACTTCATAGGTTTTCGTGAAGATTAAATGAGTTAACACATGTAAAGCAGTTAGCACAGCACTTGAATATAAGTTATTAGTAATAGTAGTAGCATACCTGATAACATGTAAGTCTTTCTACTATGTTACTACCTCTCAGAGGAAAGAACTCTGTCTTTCTCAACTTTAGAGCCTTCAGATTATATAGCAAAGTGGCTATATAGAGAGTCAATGTAAAAGGAAGCCATGGAGACTTCTATTCAAGATGATGCTGCAACTGAGGATGTGCTGCAATCTCCCACGCTTTCAAATGTTTGTTCAATTGAATTAATCTGAGATTTGTATAAAGTTTGTAAAGCCATGGCTCTTGTATTCCAGTTCTGGAGTGATGCTGTTTTTTAAAGAAGGGTGATAAAAGCAGAAATGTCTATCTTTATAACACTCTCCAAGTTTTAATGGGGCTGAAAAACGTGGTCCAAAGCAATGTTCATTAAAAATTTCATTCTCTGATCTCTTAGGTTTGTTTTGTTCTTCTACCTCAAATAAACTCTTATGCATCCTGGTTTGACATCACCATCTTGGTCACCACTTCCTCTCTGCTCCTCTCAACACTGCCCAAGAAGTCTTATCACTGTACCACAAGATCCCTGGGGGTGTGAGGTTCCTCTTCTACTTTCATCGATTTTACCTTAAGAATAAACTGATGCATCTTTTTGTCCTTTTCTCTTCTTAGAGAGCAGGAGAAGAAGAAACAAATGAACTTCTTTATTAATTTTTATGCTGCCAGGCTTAGAATAAGTATTTCTGAGATATATTAGAGATTTCTAAAACATTTGCTTGTTTTCTACTCAAAACAACCACTTATACAATATTCCTTTTTGCTCTACCAAGGATAAATTTCACTTACTAAGAATCTCAGGCCTACATATTCTTCCTGAGAATCAGATTCACCATGCACCAATTACTCTATCTCCTGCTTGAGTTCCATGACACAGAACTCTCACAGAACAAGTTAAGGGAAGCAACTTCATTACTCATACATAGGCAGCAGGGAACAATAGAAGCACAGGATTTACGGCAAGCTGATCCCCCAAGTCTCAGGAAAGTTTCTGAGGGTGGATGGAGTCTTGTCTGCAAATACCCCACATCTCACTGCAGCTAAGGAAACCTGAAAACCCAATACCTTGGGTTTTATATCCCGGGGCAATTGCACTCACTGGGCTAAAGCATTGTAGGTCATTCTGTGGTGGGAGGGACAGAAATGAAGCCCAACCAGTTCCTCTTTATCTCAGAATGTTGCATTTCCAGCACATTCTGCAGTTATTCTTGAGAACTGTAAGCAAGAAAGGGGGAAAAAGCTGGGTCACCAAGGTCCATCCAGAGACCTGTCCTGCACTTCCCTGTCTACTTCAGATGTTGTCACTTATGTCTCTAAAACAGAGCCCCTTAGAACATAAAGGCTTTTGACATAAGACATTTTCTGGAAGTAAAACTGGCTTCTCAAAATTTGTCAAAAGTCAATACAAAACCTTCTGTGCCTGCTTTAGTGTGCTAGAATTGCCACATTTGCTGCACCAGGAAAAGGAATCTTTTAACTCATTGTTTACCATTCTTATTATGAAAACAGCACATAGCACGCATGATAAAAGAATTATTAGCAAAATATAAAGTAAATTAACATTGAATATTTCCACTGATGTCTGCCTGTATATGTGGTACTGTCTATATACTTCCATGAAAATCAACTATTGCTTAAAGGTTGAGGCTTATATGTAGACCTTAGAAACTGCATTGTGGTTTTCCTCTTCCTTCTGAACCCATCTATCTTCTTTCTTTTGGAAATTCCCCACCAATTCAAGGGTATTTCTTATGTATTACTTTACTAAATCAAATTAATAAACAATCCAGGAAAATCCTTTATGCAGCCATTTGTTCTTTATGTTTTCTTTGTCTGATTTTTAAAATAATATAATCTGCTTTGAAATTTTCATCAGGATCATGAAGATTATTTGATCCAAACACTGTTCTGAAAATGCAATTTCTAAGAAGCTTAAATAACCCATGCATAATAGAGAGAAAAAAACCACCCGAATATGATGTTTCCTCTCCCTTTTGTGATCTTTCCTCAGTTCACAAATATATACTGAAGAACTACTCTGTTCACAGAACTTGGACTTTGTTACTTTGAAACACTGGAATTATTTATTTATTTATTTATTTTTCTACTTTCAATCTAAAGCATATGATGATAAGGGAATAGTTCTGAAAGTTTGTCATTTGAACTAAACATGAAGATATAACCGAATTTCTGTATCATTTTCCCAAGGGGGAAGAAAGTAGCTTTTAAGGCAGTTAGTAAAAGAAGCTACTGGCAGGGTATACACTGTGTTTCTCTTGGAAATTAACTTTTCTTTTTCCATGTTTATACCCCAAAAATTGCTAGTCTGCCCTTCCTCTGTGGCTTGAAAGTACAGAAAAGATGAAGCTAATAATGCCCTGTGTTTGTTCATCAGGGATGCTGTACATCCCTGTACACTGTATTCAGGAAGATGGTCCATCTCGCAGACCAATGTCTTACTGCTGTGTCAGCCAGGTCAGCTGAATGGGGATCTACATGTGTCTGTTTTTAAATTACATTTAGTTCCCATACTGTCAAAAACATCTAGTTAAGTTGCCTAAATAGCAACTTAACTTTCAAGCATTTGAATCAGTTGCCATGGTAACAGATGTTCAAAAACAGGGACCTACAATTTTGTATTAAACTGTTTTTCTCCACTTCCCACAAGTTTCACGTTTATATGCTCTGCCCTCCTGGCAGGGGGTGGGGGGAGTCAAAGCACAAGTAAAATTCAATCTTTCTTACCCCCTTTATATTCCAACCTTTTTAAAATTAAAAACTTCACATTGGACTAAAAAATGTGGCCATAACAGGATGTTATTTCATATAAGACCTGAAAATATTGAACTAATGGTCATCGTAACTGAGAAGGAGAGGAGAAAAAAAGCATTAGGCTCTGTTGCCTGTCCTCCAACTGCACTTCAGATAAAATTAAAACTACACAACTCCATTGACTGGTCATCTTGAAACAAAGAACAAAAGCTTAATCACATATCTAGACAGGGCAATTAAAGTCAAGACCACAGAAATCTAATTCTCCAAGCACATCCATGCATAATAACCACTTTTGGAAATGTAGTCTATACTGAAAAGACTCTGTGTCTGTATAGAATCTGCACTTTTTAATTATGAGACATTTCACATAAAGAAGACGTTGGGGGCAGGAACAAATCCAACAAACCAGAGAAGGAGAACTTACCCTCTCCACAGACTCTGAAACTAGGAGATTTGTATCTTTCTTTGTAGAAAAAAAAAAATAGTACTTTTCCAAGAATTCTCTGCAAGACTGCTCTCTGAAAAGGCATGTGGTGAAACAGAACAAGTATGATGAGTTATAGGATAGGCGAAACTAGATCAAATAGCAGCTCTGCGCTTACCCAGGGTGTGATGCTGGGCACCTTACTTACTGTCTCTGCATCGCATCCCCACTTTGAGATAAAAATATCTACCTGAAATGAATTTTCATTTAATAATCCAGTGAAATCCCATATGGAAAACATCCAGCTCAGCTAGATCTTAGTAAATGTTCATTCATTTTTGTTCTGTCATCCCCATCATGAATCCTTGTGTTTAAAAGCAAGAAGTTCTGTCTCCAGTGACTCTTGCAACTTGTCCAGTTTCTTGGATGGACCACAGGGGCCTGGGTAACCACACCTTTGCTATAATGCTATAAACTGCTCAAGGGCTAACACTCATGGTCTATCACTGAACTTCACCTAGTTGGGGAACTATACAGGTGACCACAGGATCTCTCACAATTTAGGAGAATTTGTCCCATTTTACAGTCACAAACAGAAAGACTAGAATAACAGAATGACCTCTGGGTTAGTTCAGATTCTCTGAGAAGTAGACACCAAGATGTATTAAATGTGCAAAAAAAAAAACGTATTAGGGGAAACATCTGTGGGAGATGTGAGAAAAGACAAATCTGACCCTGAGGGAAGGAGAGAGGAAAGGAAAGAAGAAAGGGTGTATGGAAGCTTCCTAGACTGGCATGCAGTCTAAGAAAATATCTACAACTTGAAGGAGTCCTCAAGCTAAAGTTGGCCATAAGAGGGATCCCGTATTTCCCAGGAAGGGCTCATCTCAGTCTCTCTGCCATACTTGGCCACGGGCTGAGAGCAGCCCTTGAGAAGCAAGGCCTCACCACAGATCTAAAAAGTGAATTATCATAGCTGCCACTGCTTTTTAATTAGTGATAGGGTTTGGATATTTGTCCCCTCCAAATCTCATGTTTAAATATAATCCCAGTGTTGCAAGTGGGGTCTTGTAGGACATGTTTAGATCATGGAAGTAAATCCCTCATGAATGGCTAAGTGCCATCCCCTTTGTGATGAGTGTATCCACCGGAGACCTGGTTGTTTTAAGTGTGTGGCACCTCCCCCTGCTCTTGCTCCCACTCTCACCATGTGAGATGACTGCTCCTGCTTCACCTCCTGCCATGATTGTAAGCTTCCTGAGGCCTTACCAGAAGCAGATGCTGGTGCCATGCTTCCTGTACACCCTTCAGAACACGAGCCAGTTAAACCTTTTTTCTTAATAAATTGCCCAGCCTCAAATATTTCTTCACAGAAATGCAAAAATGGCCTAACACAAATAGGTTGCAATTTTCTCCAGTTGCAGATACAACTTTCAATGAAAACTTAGATATTTCAAAAAGGGACACTTAGATAAAGCCAAACTGCAAATTAACAAGGTCTTTATGTGAAGCACACTGTGTAGACAGAGCTTCTGTTGACATTGGCTTTGCTCTACCTGGAGGCCTTGCCACAGCTGAGCTTTACTCATGGCTGAGCTATCACCCACTTCTGAGAACCCTTTTCCTCTGTCATTCTCCATACCTCTACTGCAAGATGCCTGCCTCCTCAGCAACCTTGAAAGCTGCCCTCTACCCAGAGCCTCCTCCTATATTGCACCCCTTTACTGCCATCCCCATCTTTCTGAAAAGTTCAGTCCAAAGTGGCTTAACTCCAAGGGCACAGGACTCATAAAGAGTATTAATTAAGGCTCGCTGTTCTGATGGATAAATACCAAAAGCTCAGTGATTTTACACAATTGAAATTTATTTTTGTATATCCAACTATCCATGTGGCACATAGCAGGCAACCTTTACACAATGATTCACGGACCTTTGTTTGGTCAACCCCTAGAGAGACTGGTGGACATTCTCTTCCAAACATTGGACAGAACAAAAAAAAAAAAGAGAGAGAGAGAGAGATTGAAAGCAAAGGAATTCCCGGGAAAGATTACTATGGGCCAGGTCGGCACATGGTAATTATCACTTCCACACGTATTTGTTGACAAGAACAAGTTGCATGGTCGCATCAAACTGCAAGAGACATTGGGAAATGCAGTCCAGCTGTGTGCACAGGAGCAAGAGTAAATGGATTTGGTCAGCACCTTGCTCTCTGCTGAGTAGGGTCCAGTACTGAGGCTGAGGGTGGAGTCTTGGACTCGCTCTCCAGTACTGCTTTTCTGTGCAATGGGACCTGCAGTTTTGCCCTTAAAGGTTTCTGAAGTTGGCTTCAGAACCTAACCAGAAGAATGGGAGCTGCTTGAGGGCTCAGCTTTGGGCACTTAGTAAATGTTTTTGGATGGAGAATTTCTATGAAAAAATGTGTTTTGAGTTATAAACAACCTATTTATAAACAGATTTTAGTAAGAAATCCCATCTGTAAGTTGGGAACTAAATATGCATGTGTGAGCATAAATGCATATGTCATATTTTGCAAAATCTTGAGAGGGTGTAAATTTGGATACTGTGTAAGGTCATTGGTGATTGACTCCCATCCTCTAACAAGCTTCAGTTCTTGTTGCAGGGAGGAGTGGGTCAGAGGCAAGTTAGGAAGCGACTATCCATGATCATCTGGGATTTTCTCTGTGCAATCTATAGTCTGTTGTAGATTTGTTGTAGAACAACTTAATAGCATTCAGTTGATTCTCTATGTCTGTGGGCTTTATGACAGTACAGACTGGTTAAAAATACTGTCTTCTATTAACCTTCAAAAAAGCAATACAATAATTTATGAGAATAAAAATTTTTGGACCCCATTTATTGAATTATGGTGAAATTTTATTTTATATTCTTACACATATGCAAATATGTCATTTGAAACATATGCTTGAAGAGTATGCAAAAGACCGCTGGCAGTCTAATCACTTAGCTCGGGCAACAAACTTTACTTTTTAAGCTACATCAGAGCTCCCTCTTACTTTTGAAGATGACAAATAGCTTTTTATAATCCCCTAACAACATAATCCTGCATTACATTGTCCATTTTAGAGGACAGATGATGTCATGGGCTTAGAAATTAAAGTCAGGAAATGTTAGATCTGCTAAGAAGTTGAATAATACATTTCTGATGAGAAAAAAAAATGTACATAGACTATCTTCCAGACCCACTTTGCATTATAAAATATTTCCATAACATGTACAGACATGTGAACATAAATGATACTGTGTTTGTGATGTCTACATTTATACTTATGGAACTGGAACAGAGGTGGCAGAGTGTGGTAGAAAGAGTACTGATATAGGAATCTAGAGACTTGAATTCTTGACTCACTTCTGAATTGATTAGCTGTGTGACCTGGAATAAGTCACCTAACTTCTCTGAGTTTTGGTTCCCTCCTTTGTAACACTGAGATTTGGATTAAATGACTTAGTGCACATCAAGTATCCGATACATTGCACTTAACCATTCAGAATCTCCATTTCTACAACTAGAAAACTGGTCATAAAATTATCTGCCCCTTTTTCATCCCAGGGTTATCTTAAGGATCTGAAGAAGAAAAATATTTAGAAAAGAGCTTTGTAAGTTGCAAAGTGCTATGCAAATATAATATGTTTCAAAGAAAAATAATCACATTCATAATATTGGACTCTTTGGCACATCTACTTAGTCTGGACTCAAGGGTAGATACAGCAGAGTTTAAGACTCAGGTATGCTAATCAATCTAACAATCATATAGAAAGCTGGATGTTATTTCCATTTTTGTTTTGTTTTTTGCTTGGTTTTTTTTTTTTTTTTTTTTTTTTTTTTGAGACAGAGTTTCGCTCTTGTTGCCCAGGCTGGAGTGCAATGGTGCGATCTCCACTCACTGCAACCTCCGCCTCCCAGGTTCAAGTGATTCTCCTGTCGCAACCTCCTGAGTAGCTGGGATTACAGGCATGCGCCACCACATCCGGCTAATTTTTTTGTATTTTTTAATACAGATGGGGTTTTGCCATGTTGGCCAGGCTGGTCTCGAACCCCTGACCTCAGGTGATCCACCCACCTTGGCCTCCTAAAGTGCTGGAATTACAGGTGTGAGCCACTGCACCCAGCCTATTTCCATTTTTGATAAGCTATAAAAGATAGCCTAAGTCCAGACAAAGAAATTATTTAAAATGTTTGTTATGATATCTCAGTAACATCATAGGTGGTTGCTGTAGCACTCCTTCTTTACCAGCCCAAATGAGAATGTCCCCTAAAAGCCACACACAAAATATATGTGTGCAAAGACTAAATCTATAGTAAAGTAAGCTTTTTAGGTAAAAGCAAAGCATAACTGCATTGGAGAAATGTATCATTTTCTATAAGACAATCAGACCTATAAAATTTAAGGAGTAAAATCAGAAAAGGAATAGAAAATCTAGGCATGTCTGCACATCAGTTAAAGCACCGTCAGTATGATGGCTAAATATTCAAGAACAAATGGTAGGGTCATTGCTCTGATTACTCATTAAACCCTATCTGTGGAGAATAATAATAATGCATTCACATCTTTTGTTTTTCACTTCCCCATGGTCTGGGCAGCATCCTGGACAAGATCACAGCAATGACTAAGAGCTGTGCTTTTGGAACTACCCCTGGTAGGTTTAAATTCAGGTTGTGTCACTTGCTATCTTTGTGTAATTCAGCAAAACGCTTAAGTTATTTGAGCCTCAGTTTCCGCTGTATTAATGAAACTATTCCCTCATTTCCAACTGAAAAGGAGACTGATATATAATGGGATCGCTCTTAAAATCAAACAGAAACAAAGTATATACATAAAAGCTTACTGCAGTGCTAACACATAGTAAGTGCTTAGTAACTCGTAGCTATTGGACTATTACAGGGCCAGGATTATCAAGACTAATTGAGGGGTTAAGGTTTTCTATCTCACAATCTGAACCCTTCCTCTTCTAGTTCTCCTTAACTTCCCTAAATAAATATTTTATAACTACTAGTTGTGACCATGTGACACATCATGAGGTTAATTTGGCCAGACTCAAATACCAATTATTTAAACAGACTAGAATGGAATCAAATGGGGTAGAATAGAGTAGACTAGAATAGGAAATTTAGTATCCATGTATATCACATATAGTGAGATAAATATTATTATATGCAATTTGGGAGGAGGTGTTACTAAGATGGGATGAAAACTGTATTTCCAAATGTGGAATGCTATCAAAAGTGTTTCAAAGCCACAGCCCTAAAACTTTCCATTGTACCCTCTAGAATCCATAGTACCTCATGAGTAAAATTTTTTTCTATTTTAAGTTCCAGGATACATGTGCAGGACATGCAGGTTTGTTACATAGGTAAACATGTGCTACGGTAGTTTGCCGCACCTATTAGCCCATCACCTAGGTATTAAGCCCACATGCATTAACTATTTGCTCTCCCTTCTCCTGCCCCCAGCCCCTGACAGACACCTTCCTGTGTCAATGTGTTCTCATTGTTCACCTTCCACTTATAAGTGAGAATATGCAGTGTTTGAATTTCTGTTCCTGTGTTAGTTTGCTGAGGATAATGGCTTCCAGCTCTATCTGTGTCCCTGCAAAGGAAACAATCTCATCCTTTTTTGTGGCTGCATAGTATTCCATGGTGTATATGTACCACATTTTCTTTACCCAGTCAATCATTGATGGGTATTTGGGTTGATTCCATGTCTTTGCTATTGTGAATAGCGCTGTAATGAACACACACATGCATGTGTTTTTGTAATAGAATTATTTCTATTCCTTTGGGTATATAACCAGTAATGAGATTGCTGGGTCAAATGGTATTTCTGGCTCTAGGTCTTTGAGGAATCACCACACTGTCTTCCACAATGGTTGAACTGATTTACCTTCCCACCAACAGTGTAAAAGCCTTCCTATTTCTCCACAGCCTCACCAACATCTGTTATTTCTTGACTTTTTATAATTGCCATTCTGACTGGCATAAGATGGTATCTCATGGTGGCTTTGACCTGCATTTCTGTAATGATCAGTGATATTGAGCTTTTTTCATATGTTTCTTGGCCATATAAATGTCTTCTTTTGAGAAGTGTCTGTTCATGTCTTTGCACACTTTTTAATGGGGTTTTTTTTTTTCTTGTAAACTTAAGCTCCTTATAGATTCTGGATATTAGACCTTTGTCAGATAGATAGATTGCAAAAATTTTCTCCTATTCTGTAGATTGTCTGTTCACTCTGATGATAGTTTCTATTACTGGGCAGAAGCTCTTTAGTTTAATTAGATCCCATTTGTCAATTTTTGCTTTTGTTGCAATTGTTTTTGATGTTTTCATCATGAAATCTTTGCCAGTGCCTATGTCCTGAATGGTATTGCCTAGATTTTCTTCTAGGGTTTTTATAGTTTTGGGTTTTACTTTTAAGTCTTTAATCCATTTTGAGTTAATTTTTGTACAAGGCGTAAGGAAGGGGTCCAGTTTCAGTTTTCTGCATATCACTAGCCAGTTCTCCCAGCACCATTTATTAAATAGGGAATCCTTTCCCTGTTGCTTGGTTTTGTCAGGTTTGTCAAAGATCAGAAGGTTGTGGATGTGCAGTCTTATTTCTGAGATCTCTATTCTGTTACATTGGTCTATGTGTCTGTTTTTGTGCCAGTACCATGCTGTTTTAGTTACTGTAGCCTTGTAGTGTAGTTTGAAGTCAGGTAGCATGATGCTTCCAGCTTTGTTCTTTTTACTTTTTATTTTGTTCTTTTTACTTTACTCTTTTTACTTACAATTGTCTTGGCTATACGAGCTCTTTCTTGGTTCCATATAAATTTTAAAGTAGTTTCTTCTAATTCTGTGAAGAATGTCAATGTTAGTTTAATGGGAAGAGCACTGAATCTATAAATTACTTTGAGTAGTATGGCCATTTTCAAGACATTGATTCTTCCTATCCATGAGCATGGAATGTTTTTCCATACGTTTGTATCCTCTGATTTCCTTAAGCAGTGGTTTGTACTTCTCTTTGAAGAGGTCCTTCACTTCCCTTGTTAGCTGTATTCCTAAGTATTTTATTCTCTTTGTAGCAATTGTGAATGGGAGATGATTCATTATTTGGCTCTCTGCTTGTCAATTGTTGGTGTATAGGAATGCTTGTGATTTTTGCACATTGATTTTGTATCCTGAGACTTTGCTGAAGTTGCTTATCAGTGTAAGAAGCTTTTGGGCTAAAATGATGGAGTTTTCTAGATACAGGATCATGTCATCTGCAAACAGAGACAGTTTGACTTCCTCTTTCCCTATTTGAATACTATTTCTTTCTTTCTCTTGCCTGATTGCCCTGGTCAGAACTTCCAATACTATGTTGAACGAGAGTGGTGAGAGAGGGCATCCTTGTCTTGTGCCAGTTTTCAAAGGGAATGCTTCCAGCTTTTGCCCATTCAGTATGATATTGGCTGTGGGTTTATCATAAATGGCTCTCATTTTGAGGTATGTTCCATCAATACCTAGTTTATTGAGAGTTTTTAACATGAAGGGATGTTGAATTTTATTGAAGGACTTTTCTGCCTCTATTGAGATAATCATGTGGTTTTTGTCTTTAGTTCTGTTTAGGTAATGAATTATGTATATTGATTTGTGCATGTTGAACCAGCCTTGCATCCTGGGGATGAAGCCCACTTGATCATGGTGGATAAACTTTTTGATGTGCTGCTGGATTCGGTTTGCCAGTATTTTATTGAGTTTTTTTGCATTGATGTTCATCAGGAATATCGACCTGAAGTTTTCTTTATTGCTGTTGTATCTTTGCCAGCTTTTGGTATCAGGATGATGCTGGTCTCATAAAATGACTTAGGGAGGTGTCACTCCTTTTCAGTTGTTCGGAATAGTTTCAGAAGAAATAGTACCAGCTCCTCTGTACCTCTGGTAGAATTCAGCTTTAACTCCATCTGGTCCTGGGCTTTTTTTGTTTGGTAAGCTATTTATTACTGTGTCGTGAGTAAAATTTTCTACATCCTCAAGTCTTTTCGGAATATTCCCTTTGTCTTCTTACAGTAATTCAATATTTCCCAAAACTTGGTGCTCATCAGAGTCTCCCAGAGGGTTTTGTAGTGGCAGCCTCTAAGATACTACTTACTGATCCATCCCTCACTCCTCAGATTCACACCCTGGGTAACACTTTCCCTTAAGTATGAGCTAGAAGTAATATCTCACTTCTAATGAATAAATTCAGCAAAAGTAATTGTTTATCACTTTTAATAATAGGTTATAAAAAGAAACAGATTTCTGTCTCTCCCTGACTCTCTCTCTCTCTCCTCTCCATCTTCCTCTCTTCCTCTCTCTTATTGCAAAATAAATCATATAATGTTTTAAAACATTACCCCATGTGGTACACTGATTGCATTTAGGGCTGGAGTCATTCACCTGTCTCTGCATCCATATCCCTTTGCCATATAACGTTGTGGCAACTCCCACTGGGAATCTAGGCTTAGCCATGTTACTTGCTTTGGCCAATGTGATGCTAGCAAATGCAAACACAAGCATTGGCTTCAAGGGGAGGCACTATTGGAGTTGTTCAGTCTTGCCCTCTGCCATTGCCATGAGAATATGCTCTGGCTAGCCTGCTAGAGGGTGAAAGACAGAGCAGAGCCAAGTCACCCAGTCTTCCCAGACGAGGCCATCCTGGATCAGTCAACAGCCAACACACCCCAGCCAAAATCAGCCTTGCTGTCTAGTGGACCCACAGCTGACCACAGACATGTGAGGGAGCCATGAGAGTCTGAGAACCAGACCAAAGTAGCTGAACCTCTCAAACACCTGAGCAAAATAAATATTTACCGCTGTAAATTGTCTGTTACATATTGGATAATATTATGTAAAAAAGCATTCTCCTTCTCTGTGGATATCACTGATGAGATCCCATGTACTTACAAGAATTTTATTTATAAAATTAAGATTTGCTATTTACTAGAATTATTAAATATGCACATATTGACCTAATCATTACATAACCATTGTATATTGCAACTTAGAATATCCTTCATTGTATTAATGGGGAGGATAGGGACTGGGGAGAAAGGTATTTGCTCCAGAGACCCCTGTTGAAAAACAGGAGATTGCTGCAAAACGATCTGATGGATATAAATTTTTCACACAGTGCACTTTGGAACTGTTCCCATCTCCAGATACAATTAGAGGAAAGCACTGACCCCATCCCAAGTCAAGCCTTGAGCCTGCAGATTCCTGATGGTAGGAGTGAGGGTCCTGCCCTCAGGACCCGCTGGAGGGTAGAACAGGTGGGTTGATGTCTGCTATATTTCCTCTTGGGCCAACGCACTTCAGTAAATGGTCTCTATTTTAGAAGCCCAAATATCAAGAGGACTTTAGAGGACTGGACTAGGATATCCTGAGACTCAAAGCATTAACAAGATCATGATGCCCATTGCCATAAGTAATTTAAAAGATTTGTTTTTCAATGACACAAAACCTCATGTATGCTGTGATCTAGCTATTCTAATTTGGGGAACTTTCTGACATTACTAAAAACCAAACTTCTTTGTATTTTAGTGAATTTCTGTGTATCCATTTGGGGGTGGGAGGGCTTGTTTTTCTCTTTTCTTTACATATTTAGCCCTCCTGTGGGGTATTCTACCTATATGCAGATTAGAAAACAACCAAGGAAAGCTAGATTTTCTTTTTCTACCTGGGTCTCTGACTGACCTAACCAGTTGCATCTATTTCAGAATGGAAACAATTTGTACCAACAACAAACCTTAATTAATAAATCCAAAATAGATAAAGTTTCATATGCTGTGCTTTGGAAAATAACTTATTTCTGAATGTGAGTCATTCTAAGAACAAACTCTAATTGATCATGTAAATTCAGCCTATACAAATTTGTGTTAAATATCATTACTTAATAAACTTCTTAACCACCTTCCTGATTTTGAGCCTGCTTTCAAATTTTAATTAGATGTAATGATCAGACAGTTATAAAATGCTAACATTCAAAGAGGAATTGATGTACATAGTTTTCACCCTAATATTTGGGACCTGCCATTCTGGATTCCAAATGTAACCTGTGCATGGTTTCTTAGGACTCACTGGGTGTGTATCGTCTAAGGACTCTAAACGTAATGCATGTAATAGTTACATTCATAGGATGGCTATGTAATTTTATTAACCAAACTAGTAAGCTTCAAAATGCAAACTATAATACATACAAGTTGTAGCCTGTAGTTGTTTCCAGAATCAGACTTTTAAAGTTAAAATTCTCATTGTTTTTAATTCAGATATCTTTTACTCTGGACTAAGAGGCAATCCTCCCCATTCTTGGTGTTTAACAGGAGGCAGCGACTTTAGAATTCTCTCCCATTTCAAGTGCCCACAAAACTGCTATTGCTGCTTACAAAAGTTGTGCATAAGCCTGGATACAAAACAAACCCTATGGGGAAAGAAAAAAAAAAACGGGTCGATGAATTCACCCAAGTGCAAATTACCTCAAGATTCATTTTTCCCTTTTTGTAGAACTAACAAGTGAATCTTACTGAGTTGGGACCAAAGAAACCCACTGAAGTGAGCCTTTAAGAGACATTTGTGCTGGTGATGACAGCATTTTCATGGTAATTTGTTAATGTTCTTGCAAAGCAGGGGTAATTTACTCCAGTAAAATCTAGCTAATAGCCTTGTAGATTTGAGGCCTTCAACCAAGGGCCACATGCAGGCCTTGGGCGGCCTAGTGCCTGTAGGACTGCATAACCACCAGAAGATCTCACACCTGACCTCCTGGCTCACACCTGACCTCCTGGCTGACTCCCTTTCTCAGCCTCACACCACCGTCACATCTCAGATCCAGTTCCCAGTATGGGACGTCCAATTGGTGTTAAAGGGAGCAGGGAGCTTGGGAAGGGGCAGGGCAGAAGGCACAGCATTTGTGAGTGTTAAACTCAGGAAGGCATGAACCTTCAAGCTCTCTTTTTTGGAGGCAGGCTTTAACACAAAGAAAAGAAAATGATGTGTAAAAACATACATCAATATCATTCATTTTCTTTTCTGATTATAAAAATAATACACATTCATTATAGATTTTTGAAAAACAGAAAGACCTCCAAATGGGGACAAAAGCACCAATAATTGTATCTAGACATCTTGATGCAGTTCCTGCCAGTTTTTCTCCATGCAGACTTTAATTACTTTATGCAAATTTATTGTGTATGAATACTTTTTTAAGAAAATCTGATTTTTTGGCCACATAATATCACTATTTGTATGCACTGTAAGTTATAAAATGTTTCCATTATTAGACAATATAGGTGATTTCCATTATTGCATAACTATAAATAACATAGCAGTGAACATCCTTATACAGAAATCTTGGTCTCCCACTCTAATTAGGTTTTTAAGATAGATTCTCAGAAGGGATAAGTGGAATCAACGGGCATGGATGTTTCAACATATTTGATACATAAAATCAAGTCAAATTGCTCTGCAGAAAAGCCACATCGATTAGACAGTGTGTTCAGCCACGTGGTAGGAGAGGCCTTTATTAATGCACTTTCACCAACATTGAGTTTTTAATCTGTGCTAATTTGACTGGTAAAATGACAGATCGAAAGTCACATTTTCAGTTTATGTGTACAAAAGTTATTATATATAGCTCAGTTTGCTCATAAAATTAACATATTTGGGCCATTTAGAAAGCCATAAAATGAGTCACTGAATACCAAAAGTGACTTCAAAGAGCATGGAATATACTGAAGGCGAAATTGTTTGCCCAGGCCACTCTGTAGTGATGAACTCAGGACTAAAACCCAAGAATTCTATTTCCCATCCCAGCGTTCCTAAGAAGAGATTTTTAGTAAGATAGAACCTGCTTTAAAATGCAGAAAGAATGGAGAGGCGGAGGAGACTTTTAACTGTGGTTTGATAAAGCTGTTTTCCTCACTAATTTTTCAATGCTTTCACACTGTCCGAGGCTGGTGGTCCTGACATCTGGCAGCTTTTTAACCTTAACTTTTGGAGGGGAAAAGTCAAGAAATACAAAGTTGTTTCAGAATTAACCAAAGCAAAGTATCACTAGGAAGCTCAGTCCATTCCGAAGATATCTCAAGAGACCATCTATAATAAAATATAAATGACTCCTCGTGGTCTCTACCCGAGTTGTCTGTGATTCATTCATGGTGAGAACATGAAGGTATAAAGGCCACAACTAAAGATTTTGCTTGTTACCACGCCTTTAAAACTTCCTTTTTAATTTTTTACATGCAATTCTCAATTCTTCCCAATGAGAGAAAGGATCTTTGTCCCCTCCCCTTGAATCTGGGCAGGTTTGTGACTGCTTTGACCAATAGAGTATGGAAGTGGTGCTATGTGATTTCCGAGTCTAGGTGATAAAAGGCAATGCATCTTCCTCCTTCTCTTTTGGGAACACTTGTTCTTGGAGATATTAGCCAACCTGTGAGAAGCACCAATACCCTGAGGCCATTATGAGGAAGTTCACACCACAGAGAGAGACCCTGAGTAGATGTGCTGATTTACAGTTCCAGCTGAATGCAGCCTTTGAATCACCCCAGCCCAGGTGCCAAACATGTGAGAGAAGAAGCTTCCAGATCATTCCAGTCCCCAGCCATCTGAGTCAACTTCAGCCTTTGTGTCTGCCCAGTGAATGCCTCAGACATCATGAAGCAGAAGCAAGTCATCCTTACTGTGCTCTGTCTGAATTCCTGACTCACACAATTAATGAGCATAATAAAATGATTGTTGTTTTATACTCCTGTGTTCTGGGGCATTTGTTGTGCAGCAAAAAAGAGGTGAAATAGATCATGTCTCACTGGATTACTCTCCACTTTTTCATTTCCTTACTCAACTTGTGGGCTACCAGTGTCCCCATCATTCTTCCCAGAATCTCTGTGGATTGGATCAGTGCATCCATATAATATATACAATATATAATATTAATGTGTTTCATGGTTGCATTGAAAAAGAGACTTGAAAGTCACCTAGAACACATGAAAGGACCTAGAAATGGATTTTCCTGTTGGCATTAAAATGTCTGAGATGTTTTCTCTGCTCTGTATTTTTCCTCTACTTCCTAACCTTGCTCATAATTCGTACCCACATCTCTGATGTAAAGCATTTCCAGAAACTTCCCATACTTAACCTAAACAGCCAACAGAGGTCAATTTCATTTAAAATAACAAAAATAAGCTATGTTGAGTTGTATGTTAAGCAGTTTGCTTACATTGATTTAGCATCTTGATTGTATGAGGTAAGTCATATTAACATATTTTGCTGAAGAGGAAACTGTGGTTTGGAGTTGTAAGGTAACACAGCCTCTAAATGGTACAGCCAGGATTTGAACCCAGGGTCAAAGGACCCCAAACCCAGATTTTAACCTCTACACTGGTAGCTTACAAGCTTTTGGTCTACACCCCATGGTAAGAAATGCATCTTACATCATGGCCAATAAATACCCACATATATATAACTGAAATAAAAGTATCAGGAAACAAGAAACATCTTGACATGTATATAGCACATTGACCTCTCTATTTTTCCATTCTATTTCTCTTTCTTAAAAATGTAGATAGTAACCCACGAAATCGATTGTATAACCTGCTGCAAATTGATCACAACACAGAGACTTTAAACATTCACTTCACTACCTTTTCCCATTTGACTTAAAATCTGAGAGGTCATTACCTCAAAACTCTTTTCTTCTTATAAACTGAAGGTCACTACCTACAGGTTAAAAACAAAAAGTTTTAATACAACTCAATTTTTTTTTTTTTTTTTTTTTTTTTGAGATGGAGTCTTGCTCTGTCGCCCAGGCTGGAGTGCAGTGGTGTGATCTCGGCTCACTGCAAGCTCCGCCTCCCGGGTTCACGCCATTCTCCTGCCTCAGCCTCACGAGTAGCTGGGACTACAGGCACCCGCCACCATGCCAGGCTAATTTTTTGTAATTTCAGTAGAGACGGGGTTTCACCGTGTTAGCCAGGATGGTCTCGATCTCCTGACCTCGTGATCCGCCCGCCTCGGCCTCCCAAAGTGCTGGAATTACAGGCGTGAGCCACCGCACCCAGCCACAACTCAATTTTTAAAATTAGAAACAAGCCTTAAAATCTCTATTCACAAATTCTAATATGAGACTATTTAATAAAAAGCCCTATTTGGTACATTTAGCAAACAATAAAATTGATACCTCAATTATATTTTATATTCAGTTGTTGGACAGAACAACCCTGGCCACAGCCCTCACCAGGCTCACAGCTCAGGACACTGCCTGCCCTCCTTGCTCTAGATTTTCTGACCATCAGCTGACCAAAGAATTGTGATATGGCAGAGCATGAGAAAATTAGCTGGCCCAATCTCAGCACTTAGAATGATGGGAAAATAAGCCAAAGAATTGTGAGAGTAGAACTAAAAGTGCACAAGACAGCACTGGAGATGGAAAGGCCATAGCAATTATAGACAAACCACAATGATAAAGGAACAGAAGAAGCCATGTGGAAGGGAAAAAAGAATGGAACACACATTCAGAGAGAAGCAGGGAGAGGCCCTGTACCCATGGGGAAGACGGAGTCAAAGAGAAGCTCATCTCTTGCATGGCAGCAGGTCCTGGTGGCTTTTTGGTTCCAATTCCAGGGCACACATATTCAAAATGAAGATATATCTTTCTTTCTGGAGGAGATTTGCAGGGCTTTTAGTTCTGCATCATCCAAAGATCCTTAATTAAAATGGATGCCCAAAATATTCTCATGCTATAAATCTCAGAGGAAGGCAGTGTGAGACAGACACAGAGTCAGATGAGAGACAGAACTTCATAGTGGGTATCTGCATGCTTTTGCCTTTTAGAACATTAGAAATAATAATTACAATGCCATTTCTTTGATTAATACAGTACTTTACAGTTGACAAAATAATGACACATAATCATCTGTAAAATGGAAATAATAATTATAATAGTACCTGCCTCCTATTTTTGTTATGAAGATGAAATGAGTCAACACATGTAATCCTTAAGATTAGTGCCTCCCATATAGTGGATGCTAAACCAATAGGCTTTGATCCTATGATAATACTGTGACATGGACAGGTATTGCAGAGCCATTTGATAGGTGAAGAAACAGATAGTCAGAGAGACCCCAGGCCATGCTAAAAGCTACACAGCCAGTAAGTGGCAACTACAGTCCTCAGGCTTCTTATCTATCCATTAATTCCACAGATATTCATGGAGTGCCAGTCTCACTCCATACAGTGAATGTGACAGGTGCAATTTCTGCCCTACAAAACTCACAGTCCAATGCTCTTTCCCAAGTTTTACCATGTTTCTATAGTACAGGCATCAGCTAGACAATTGTTATTTGTTTTATGCCTTGCAAATGAGATTAGTCTAATAAAGAGCCACAAAACCACATGCATTTTCCAGTGTCTTGAAAACATAGAGTTGGTACCAGTCTCCTGAGCTCACTCCCAATCCCTGTATTATAATTAATACTATGGGGAATTGGGAATGCCATATTGTATTTCTTTGTATAATTATCTTTCCCCATGCCTCAACCCAAGACTCTCAGCTCCCTGAGGGCAGAAACTATCCTCTGAGTAGCACAGAGGATGTGCATAATAAATACTGGTTAATTTTAAATGAATAAAAAGGATATCATATCAGTGCAGATGTTTTGATTTTTCTTAATACTCAGATTAGTCTTAGTTTTTAATGCCACTGAGAGGTTTTTATTCCCTGAGTTTTGACGGGGTTTTGGTTCATTGTTTAGAGTACATCACCATCCACCACCCCATCCCATGGTGGTTTTTCAGTTTTAGAAGTGGAAAAAGCTCAATGGGACCTGAAGTAGGCAGCCAGAAACTAAAATTGTTTCCACAACCACCACCAATAACACTTTCATGCCTTTCCTAAGCCCTAAGCTCTAGGAAGGCAGACACAAAAAAGTAAAGGAGTAAAGAGAAGAGAAAGTGAAGGGGAAGAAAAAGTTGGAAAACAGCACCAGTCAGACATGACAAAGTAGAATTAAAATTACCAAAACGGAAAATTGTAGAGTGCCATTTGACCCTCTCTTCATTCCTACCAGATCAGAAAGAGAGTCTGGCTGATTGAATATATATATATATATTCTTGATCTCTGTCTCTATGTATGCCTGTATGTATGTATACATGTATGTATGTATGTGTGTGTGTGTGTGTGTGTGTGTGTATAAAATACATCAAGAATGATCAAGAATAATTCATCAAAAATCCATGTGGAACACTTTGGAGTCTTTTATTAAAAGTAAACCTTTTTCTAAAGAACCATGATAAGTTTGTAAATGTAAAATTAGTCATGCTCAAATAAATCTATCAACCAGAAACATAGCTCTGGCTTTTAAATCAAGCCACCACTTTTGATTAATTAAATCTTACCCAAAGTAGATTTTCCTTTATTATTAATGTATTTCATTCATATCAATTCAGAGTAGAGCAATTTTGAAATCAAAATAAATTTTTACCAAAGCCAGGGTTTACAAAATCAACAGTGCTACATGTTCATGGGTTCTGCCTTCATGAACTGTGGGAGAAGGAAAGGTAGCTGGATTTTGAAACTTCACAAAATTCTAAACATCAAATATTGGGAATTAGCAGTAAATAGACAAAGTTTTAGAGACCCTCAAGATAAATTTTCCAAAGTTAGGCTTCTCTCCTGGTTAACATAAGTCAAAGGATTCTCTGAAAAAATACAGTAAATTTGAACTTTTGTGTGGCCTTTTTATTTGCATGTCTGTGTTTTAGCAAGCACCCTGGAATGGCAAATGCTTCCTCATTGGTGGAACCATGTAGATTCAGAAAAAAGCCATCTTCCATTGAGAAGACAATTGTTTTCTATAGAGACAAAAAACAAATGCCCATGACCCAGGTCACCTCATCCCAGCAGGCTTTTGCCGCGGCTTCCTCTGAGCAAACACAACAAAGTCCAGAGCAGTCAATCCTGCTGCCCCACACTGGGCCCCCACAGTTGTGCTCTGCTATTTACCCTTCCTATTAATCTGTCAATGTTCTAGTCAAACATGCAAAACAATATGGTGGGCACATAGTTTGATTGGTCATTGCTAAGTAACTTGGACCAAAGATGAAGAAATGGAACTTCCAACCAACAAAATGTGAGGCCCAATCTGATTGTTAGAAAATGTTCAACAATACCAGTGCATGACAATTTTCTCAGGGTGGCTGTGATTTAACATCTCTCTCACCGAAAAAGAGTGGTCCCAATAAATGACACTCAGTTCCAGAATCTAAATTCAGGTCATGTTGCTGTTCCTATCATTGCAGCATAGAACTGTCTGGGCATTTTGCAAAGGAAGATGTTCATTAGAAGATGTCATCATTCCACAGTGAAAAGACCGTTGAGGAATTTGGTTTGGTACACAAGTTGAGTCCCGGGCTAACAAAGTATTTTTTGAACTGAAAAACAAGAGTCCTTGGTTCAACACTTCCTGGATGCTGAAAAGTATAACTCTGTATTTCCAAAAGGCAATCTGAATTATCAAACATTTTGAGCAAATTTAATAGCTTATATTCTTATTTCACTTTCCTCCTTTTCTGCTAGGCCAGATGAAGCCTCAGAATCTTTCTCAACACAAAGCTGTGGGTAGCCACCTTTATTCTCCTGGGATTAACATGAAAGATGGGGCCTGTTTGTCATTCCAGCCCTAGACCCTCAAGTGAACATATTCAAGTACAAGATGTACAGATGAGCAACAACTGTCCAAGAAACACCTTTTTAGAAATACAGAGTGTGCATTTCCTTGCTGTGTGTTTTCAGAAAGCAGGAAGTATGGAAAGAGTAAGTGGCTAGGATGTCAGAGCATACAGCAAATTTAAAGAAAACATAGATAATGAAAGCAGGCTGATGTGGGGTAAAATCCCCACCATTCACTAGCTATTTACAAGGTATTTGTCCTGCGGAAAATAACAGCTCTGAGACATGTTTGTTCATATATAAAATGGAGAAAATGAGACCACATACTATATAAGTCAGGACATCTGACTCCTGTCCCTGATCCATTCCCTCTGTCCACTTCGCCACAGACCACAAGCAGCTCCAGGCTATATCCTTGCCATTTTTGGACCCAAGAGGAAAAGAAACTCTCTCTTCCCATAATGAGTCCAAAAACTGAGAGGAAGAACTCTGGCTTGATATGGATTACGTGTTAACTATTGGATTCCCACTAAAGGATTCTGATTGGTCCAGACTGGTTCATATATCCATCCTGATAGCCAAGAGGCCAAAGGATTGTGCTTGGGCTGTTTCCAAAACCACTTGGTGGGAATGGAGAGAAGCAGTTTCCTAAAAGAAGTGTTGTGTAAGGGGGATACTTTTCTTGGGCAGACAAAAGAGTAAATGTGTACTTTATGACCTCATGGAGTGAGAAGATTAAATAATGTAAAGAACTTACTAATGGCACATAGCAAGTTGTCCATAAATGCTAGCAAAGATGATGCTAATTTTCTTCATCACTATTATTATCAATCCCTACTGCAAAATAATACAATCAATAGTAGGGTATTTACAGAAGGATACTTAATATATCACATTGAGTATTACTTACTGATGTCAGTTGTAAATCTGGCTACTCATATAGCACTCTTAGTGAAATAACAAAGTACAATGGCCATAGATTTCATACTTCAATTTGAATTCAACTCATAATTCAAATTATAGAGATTTCACTGTGATCCAGCTTACTGAAAAAAAAATGTGATGTTAAGGGATGAAATTTAAAAATTGATTCATTCATGCATCATAGCTCTTATGTACCAGACACTGAGCTAGACCCTGAGTAACACAGGGGAACAAAGCTGGCCAAGTTTCTACCCTAAAGGAGCTTACTTTTCAGAAGTGGAGCCACAGAGGAGTGGGAAGTGTTATGAAGAAAAACAATACATGGTAAGATTAGAAAGCACAGGATAGATTTTAGGTGTAGTGGTCATGGCAGGACCTCTGGGCAGAGATATGAACAAAGTATTGGAGTAAGCCATAAGAATCTCTCGGTGAAAGTGTTCTACTCCAAGAGAAGAGTAAGTGAGCACCAAGTCTGGAGGGTGGGTGGTAATGTGGCCACAGTAAAGTAAGCAGGGGAAGGGGACAGGAATTTAGAGAGCTTGCCCACATTCCTGGCCAGATGTTCATGTCCTAATGCCTAGAACCTGTGAACATTACCTTAGGTGGCAAAAGGAACGTTGCAAATGTGATTAAGAACCTTGAGAAAGGGAGATGATCCTGGATTATCCAGGATCCAGTATAATATAATCCAATATAATGGTTGAAGAGGGAGGCAGAAGAGGAGGTTGGAATGATGTGATGTGAGGAAGACTGAACCCTCTGTAACTTGCTTTGAAGATGGAGTAAAAGCAACAGGAGTCAAGGAATTCAGACAGCCTTCAGAAGCTGGAAAGGGAAGGAAACAGAATCTCCTCTAAAGTCTATAGAAAGGAATGAAACCTTGCCAACGCCTAGATTTTAACCCAGTGAGCCCTGTTTCAGACTTCTGAACCTACAGAACTAAGTGGAAGATAGTACACTTGTACTGTTTTAAGCCACTAAGTTTGTGGTAACTTGTTACAGCAGCAACAGAGAACTAATACAGAATCATTCTTACCATTACCAGAGCATTTGTAGTTTTTTATATGTCAGTGAAAAGTTTGTCTTCAGTTAAAAGCCCAGGCTTGTGCAACTTCTTAGGAACAATACCAGCAGCTTTAAAGTGAGCACATGTGCCTCAATCCTAATGGTGTGGGGTTACCTTAGTAACATAAGAAATAAATAATAGCAAAGACAACACATTTCTAAGTTTTCCTAGCATAAATGTAATGTGTCCCTAATAGTGGGAAAAAAATAATTTATGAAGGCATTTAAAATTATGCTATAATTTACAATGATGTGAGTATGGATAAATATGGAAACTAAGAGGATTATCTAAAATATAATATCAATGACACTGAATCAAGAATCACAATTAGTGGCTGAAATGGAGCAAACCTATTAACCTAAAAAAAGTAAGAAAATATAGTATCTCTTATGCATTACCTGCATCCTGTTTGCAAAAGGTCTGATGGTTAGCAAGAATTCTTCTTCCCTTTGTTTCATACATATCACTGTAGACATTAATTTGACAAGTTCAACTCCCTATAAACAAAGAATGGAGAAAGAAGAGCAGGTTTACAATGATGCAATGATAATATTAGAGAAAAAAATGACATCTTTAAGAGCCAGAATCATCCTATCCATGAACATAGTATTTCTTGCCAGTGACTTTCAATAATTTTTTTTTTTTTTTTTTTTGGGGGAGACAGGGTCACATTATGTTGCCCAGGCTGGTCTTGAACTACTCCTGGACTCAAGCAATACTCGCACCTTGGCCTCAATAAAATTCTATACTTTTCTGCATAAAGTTCTTGATCATCTATTGCAAGATATAATCCTAGGTGGTGCTTGCTTTGGTTGGCTGGTTGGTTGGGGGAAGTGGGGGTTGCACTGTAATGATGTCTTTTAAATCATCTTTCTAATCATTTCCAAAGTATAGACATGCAATTTAATTTTATACATTGTTTTAAAACAGCAAGCTAGTTAATTCCAAAAAATATGTCTGTTGATTATTTGGGGATTTTGATGTGAACAATTGTATCACCTAGTAATAGTAATGGCTTTGTTCCTTTTTATTCAAATTTTTGAACTTTGAGTTTTCGTCTTATTGCACTAGTTTACATCTCTAAAACATATAGCTTAGGTCCTCAAGAAGCAAATAAAACTTAGGCCCTCATTTGCACAGGCCCCTGTGAGTTTCAGGAGTTATTAGGATTTGCAGAGTATTCTAGGTATAGAAAGGGAAGCCTAGTGAAATTGGGAAGCATTTCCAATAAATTGTTTTAAAAGATCTCAGAATAGAAAGACCTAATCTCTAAGTCTCCAATATTCTTTGTGCATTCTTCCTTATATCAATTTTAATACATAATTTCTTATTTGTAGTTCTGAGGCTTGAGTTTTGAGATAGTTCAATCAATAGGAAGTTAAGGCAAGGAATATTGGTTACAGAGGTGTTAAAGGGTTGAAAAAGAAAAGAAGACTAGGTGTGGAGTTGCAAAAAATAAGAGGAGGTGATATCAACAGGTCAGTAAATACTAACACTCATGAATCAGAGCCCCCAAAATAGTATAAGTTTCAGTCTTCACAGAAGTTGGATATGCTTGGTTGTTCCTGATGTTAACAGAAATTCATACATTTCCCCATCAAGTATGATATTTGTCATATTTTAATATTTTTGTAGATGTCTTTATCAAGTAAATTTTTCTTCTATTCCTAGTTTGTAGAAGTTTTTGGTTTTAAATTAGAGACAGATAGTAAATTCTATTAACTATCTCCTCTGCAGCTGTTAAGAAGATTGTATATTTCCTTTCAATGATGCTGAAGTGATGCTACATTAACAAAATTTCCAATATTAAATGAACCAGGCATTCATGAGATAAAAAACAACGCAGTCATAACGTATTTTATTTTTAGTACAGTGCTGGATGGTGCTAAATTTTGTTTGTTAATATTTTATTTTGTTTTCTTCTTCAATGATCACAAGTGAAATTGCCTTTTTCCACTTTATAATGTCCTTACCTTATTTTAGTGTCAAAGTTATGCTAGCTGCAAAACATTTGGAGAATATTCTCTTTTTCTAACCACTGATAGTTTGTATAGGATTTAAATTACTTGCCCCTTAAATATCTGAATAACTATATTGGTAAAAATCTCCTTATTCTGATGTTATCTTTGTGGGAAAAATTTAAACTATTAATTCAATTTATTTAATGATTATAGGGTTATTTATATTTTCTATTTCTTTTTGTGTCAGTTTTAGTAAACTGCATTTTTCAAATAAATTATTTTATTTCCTAGATTTCCAGATTCATTGACTTTAAAACATATGTAATACACACATATTTTTATCTATTCAGCATAAACAATTCTATTCCATTATGTCCCTGTTTTAATTCTTAATGTTATTTATAATGCATTTCTCATTTTTCTATTGACAAATATTGCCACAGTCTTGTCAATTTTATTAATTTTTTCAAAGCACAAACTTTTATATTTGTGGATTCTTTTTATATGTTTATTTTCTAATTCATTCATTTTTCTCTGTGGGGGGTGTTTGTTTTAAATTATTTATTCTCTTTCCTATACATTTTGGGGGCTTATTCTGCTATTCTTGTGTTTTTAATTCACTGTTTAGTCTTCTTTTCTAATGTATTTAAATAAGTGTATTTTCTTCTAATACTACTTTCCCTGCCTCCAATGTTTTGAAATATAATGCTTTTATTATCTCTCATTTCTAATGCTTTTGAATTTGCATTTTGATTCGTTAACCCATATGTTGTTTAAATGTATGCTATTTCCCAATTATCTTTTTGCTATTAATTTTTAAATTGGTTACATTTTGATTCAAAAATAAGATTTGTTTGATATCAATTCTCTGAAATTTATTGAGAATTTTATAGTCTCCATGTAGCCAATTTTAATAAATATTTCATATGTGCTTAGATTCAATATTTTTGAATTATTGGATGTAATCTATAACTGTTCATTAGATCAAGCCTATTAATTATGTTCAAATCATCTATATCCCTTGATTTTTTATCTGCTTCATCTGTTAATTACTGACAGAGATATATTAAAATCTCCCACTAATGTATTGGGTCTTTCTATTTTTTTCTGTAGTTCAGTCAATTTTTATAATTTTGAGAGTTTATAATTAGCTGCATTAAAGTTTAGAGTTATATCTTCTTAATAAATCATTTTATTATATAGCTTTCTTCTTTATCTCTACCAATTTTTTTCCTTAGACAGTCTTTAGTATGATGTTAATATAGCTATAGCAGTTTTCTTGTTAGTTTTGCTAACACAGTAAAACCTATGCCATAGTGTGATAAGTAATGTCCAAAAATAAAACATGGGTTTATGTATGTGGCTGAAGAAATATTTTTAGTTACTCTGTTCTATCATGAAAAAATCCCAAAAGTAAATAAGGAAAAACTTGTCCTCTAAGAAACTGAAGAAATGTATACCATACAGGAAAAGTCTTAAATGATCAAGAGTCTGTCACATCCTAATCCTACTCATCTCTCAACAGAAGAAAATAAATCTAGCCTGTCCCTATTTAAAAGTAAAGGGAAGGACAGAAGTCGAATGCTGAAGACATTCTTTCTAAATTCTTTTTTTATTGGTATTTTTGTGGGCTACAATTTCCTGGGGGTTTACTACATATTTTTTTCCATACTTGAACTTTTAACATTTTTGTTCCTTATGGTTTGGGGTGTGTTTTCTAAAATCAACATAAAGCGAGTTACTTTAAAAAAAAAATACCGTCTGACAACCTTAACTAAGAAGTTTAGCCCTTTTCTGTTTATTGTGATAATGGATATATTTGGACTTAATTTCTACCATCTTGTATGTGCTTTCTACTTATCTACGTGTCCTGGTTCTTCTGTTTTTTGTTTGGGTTTTTTTTTTCCCTACACTTTTAGAATTGACTAAATTATTTTTTCTTTTTCTTTTTCTAGTTTCTCCCCTCTACGTCTTGGAAGTTATTCATACAATTTTACCTTTATAATAAAACATGTATACTAACTTACAATCTAAGTATTTTATAAATTTAACACTCTTGTAAATAAAACAAGGTTCTTTAACATGGACCACCCACTGCCAAATTCAAAGCTGTTGTTGTCCAATATTTTAGCTGCCTAAATTGCTGTTCTTTTCCCCCACAAGTTAGACGTCACTATTATTGTTCTAATTTTTTGCAGTCAACTATTATTTTGATTTATGCACATACTTATCAATATGTTTCATAATCAGCCTTTTTTGCATCTCAAATCTGTCTGGGATTACATTTTTCCTTCTTAAGGAAAATCCTTTACAATCACCTTTAGTGAGGGTCTACTGGTGGTAAACTCTCAGGTCTGTTTGGAAACGTCTTTATTTTATCCTTGCACTTGAATATAGTTTTGCTGGGTGTGCAGTTCTAGGTTGACAATTATTTTCTCTCAGTCCACTTAAGGTATTATTCCACCATCTTATAGTTTTCATTATTTCTGTTGTAAAGATCGTAGTCAGTCTGTTGCCAATGCCTATTCTCTACAGTGTTTTGGGTTTTGTTTTGCATTTTGCTTTATTTTGTTTTGTTTCTAGTCTTCTCGCTTGTCCCTTCTGTGGCTTAAGATCTTTTGTGTGTATATGAATGTGGATTTTTAGTTTCATTTTCATGAATCTAGATGTGAATTGTTTTTTATGCGTACTGTCTGTGATTTGCTGGACTTCCTGTATGTTAGGATATATATCTTTGAATAATTCTGAGAAGGGTTTCAGTCGTTATCTCCTTAAATATTACCTCTCAACTTATGTTTCTATTATCCTTATGGAATTCTGATTAAATTTGTTAGACCTTTTTCTCTATTTTCCATGTCTTTTCACTTATTCTTTTTGTTTATTTTTTCTTTTTTGTCTCCCATCTTTCTAGCCACTGGATAATCTCTTTAGATTTACATTCCAGTTCATTAAACTCTTCTTCAGGTTCTTCTTATCTACTATTTAACTTGCCTATTGAATTTTTAATTTAAATATATTTCTATAAGTTTATTTTTACAATATGACTGATTTTACTTTATGCATCTGTTTCTTGCTTATAGTTTTGAACTTATTTTTCCTCTCAATATAGTAAATATACTTAATTTCATATAATATCAAAAATCTATGCAGGTCTAAAATTGGTGTCTGTTATTTCTGTTGTCTCTCAGACTACCTCTTTGCTTGTGGGTATTGTGATTTTGGACAGTGAGCTTCTCATTTTAGTTTGAACCTTATATGTAAAATTCCAAGCACCAAGAGTGAACTCTAATGTGAACTATGGATTTTGGGTGATGATGCGTGTAGGTTAATCAGTTGTAGCAAACGTACCACTTGGATTGGGTTGTTGATAATGGGGAACACTGTACATGTGTAGGGGCATAGCGTATAAGGGGTATGTGTCTACTCTACTCTCAATTTTGTTGTGAACCTAAAACAGCTCTAAAAAAATAAAAAATTTAAGAAAATTCTCGAAGGCCTGTGTTTAACTCACAGTTTCCCAGAAAGGATCCAGCCTCAGGCCATTTTAAATTAAATTCTCCAGTTGAAATTTTTTTTCAGACCCTCAAAAACATGGCATAAGGACTCAAGCATTTATGAGAGCTGGCTTGTAGTTACGAAAATTATGGTTACGATTTTTCTTCACCCCTCCCACAGTAAAAGTTGAATCAAGCAGCCGTTTTTTTGCTGAATTTTTTATGTCAGGTTTATGTTTTTTTTATTTTTCTTTTTTTTCTTTCTTGTTTATTATACTTTAAGTTCTAGGGTACATGTGCACAACATGCAGGTTTGTTAGATAGGTATACATGTGCCATGTTGGTTTGCTGCACTCATCAACTCATCATTTACATTAGGTGTTTCTCCTAATGCTATCCCTCCCCCAGCCCCCACCACATGACAGGCCCTGGTGTGCGATGTTGCCCATCCTGTGTCCAAGTGTTCTCATTGTTCAGTTCCCACCTATGAGTGAGAATATGCAGTGTTTGGTTTTCTGTCCTTGTGATAGTTTGCTGAGAATGATAGTTTCCAGCTTCACCCACATCCCAGCAAAGGACATGAACTCATCCTTTTTTATGGCTGCATAGTATTCCATGGTGTATACGTGCCACATTTTCTTAATCGAGTCTATCATTGATGGACATTTAGGTTGGTTCCAAGTCTTTGCTATTATGAATAGTGCCGCAATAATCATATGTGTGCATGTGTCTTTATAGTAGCATGATTTATAATCGTTTGTGTATATACCCAGTAATGGGATTGCTGGGTCAAATGGTATTTCTAGTTTTAGATCCTTGAGGAATCGCCACACTGTCTTCCACAATGGTTGAACTAATTTACACTCCCACAAACAGTGTAAAAGCTTTCCTATTTCTTCACATCTTCTCCAGCATCTGTTGTTTCCTGACTTTTTAATGATCGCCATTCTAACTGGTGTGAGACAGTATCTCATTGTGGTTTTGATTTGCATTTCTCTGATGACCAGTGGTGATGAGCATTTTTTTATGTGTCTCTTGGCTGCATAAATGTCTTCTTTTGAGAAGTGTCTGTTAGTATCCTTTGCCCACTTTTCAATGGGGTTGTTTTTTTCTTGTAATTTGTTTAAGTTCTTTGTAGATTCTGGATATTAGCCCCTTGTCAGATGGGTAGATTGCAAAAAATTTTCTCCCATTCTGTAGGTTACCTGTTCACTCTGATGGTAGTTTATTTTGCTGTGCAGAAGCTCTTTAGTTTAATTAGATCCAATTTGTCGATTTTGGCTTTTGTTGCCATTGCTTTTGGTGTTTTAGTCATGAAGTCCTTCCCCATGCCTATGTCCTGAACAGTATTGCCTAGGTTTTCTTCTAAGGTTTTATGGTTTCAGGTCTAACATTTAAGTCTTTAATCTATCTTGAATTAATTTTTGTATAAGGTGTAAGGAAGGGATCTGGTTTCAGTTTTTTTTTTTTTTTTTTTTTTTTGAGAAGGAGTCTCTCTCTGTCGCCCAGGCTGGAGTGCAGTGGCACAATCTCGGCTCACTGCAAGCTCCACCTCCTGGGTTCATGCCATTCTCCTGCCTCAGCCTTCTGAGTACCTGGGACTACAAGTGCCCGCCACCATGCAAGGCTAATTTTTTGTATTTTTGGTAGAGACGGGGTTTCACCATGTTAGCCAGGATGGTCTCAATCTCCTGATCTCGTGATCTGCCCGCCTCGGCCTCCCAAAGTGCTGGGATTACAGGCATGAGCCACCGTGCCCGGCCCAGTTTCAGTTTTCTACATATGGCTAGCCAGTTTTCCCAGCACCATTTATTAAATAGGGAATACTTTCCCCATTTCTTGTTTGTGTCAGGTTTGTCAAAGATCAGATGGTTGTAGATGTGTGCTGTTATTTCTGAGGCCGCTGTTCTGTTCCATTGGTCTATGTATCTGTTTTTGTATCAGAAACATGCTGTTTTGGTTACTGTAGCCTTGTAGTTTAGTTTGAAGTTAGGTAGTGTGATGCCTCCAGCTTTGTTCTTTTGGCTTAGGATTGTCTTGGCAATGTGGGCTCTTTTTTAGTTCCATATGAACTTTAAAGTAGTTTTTTCCAATTCTGTGAAGAAAATCACTGGTAGCTTGATGGGGATAGCACTGAATCTATAAATTACCTTGGGCAGTATGGCCATTTTCATGATATTGATTCTTCCTATCCATGAGCATGAAATGTTCTTCCATTTGTTTCTGTCCTCTTTTATTTTGTTGAGCAGTGGTTTGTAGTTCTCCTCAAAGAGGTCCTTCACATCCCTTGTAAGTTGTATTCCTAGGTATTTTATTCTCTATGTAGCAATTGTGGATGGGAGTTCACTCATGATTTGGCTCCCTGTTTTTCTATTATTGGTATATAGGAATGCTTGTGATTTTTGCACATTGGTTTTGTATCCTGAGACTTTGCTGAAGTTGCTTATCAGCTTAAGGAGACTTGGGGCTGAGATGATGGGGTTTTCTAGATATACAATCATGTCATCTGCAAACAGGGACAATTTGACTTCCTCTTTTCCTAATTGCATACCCTTTATTTCTTTCTCTTGCCTGATTGCCCTGGCCAGAACTTCCAACACTATGTTGAATAGGAGTGGTGACAGAGAACATCCTTGTCTTGTGCCAGTTTTCAAAGGGAATGCTTCCAGTTTTTGCCCAATCAGTATGATATTGATTGTGGGTTTGTCATAGATAGGTCTTATTATTTTGAGGTATGTTCCATTAATACCTAGTTTATTGAGAGTTTTTAGCACGAAGCGCTGTTGAATTTTCTCAAAGGCCTTTTCTACATCTATTGAGATAATCATGTGTTTTTTGTCATTGGTTCTGTTTATGTGACAGATTACATTTATTAATCTGCATATGTTGAGCCAGCCTTGCATCCCAGTGATGAAGCTGACTTCATCATGGTGGATAAGCTTTTCGGTGTGCTGCTGGATTCGGTTTGCCAGTATTTTATTGAGGATTTTTGCATCAATGTCCATCAGGGATATGGGGCTAAAATTCTCTTTTTTTTTTGTTTTGGTATCGGGATAATGCTGGCCTCATAAAATGAGTTAGGGAGGATTCCCTCTTTTTCTATTGATTGGAATAATTTCAGAAGGAATGGTACCAGTTCTTCTTTGTACCTCTGGTGGAATTTGGCTATGAATCCATCCGGTCCTGCACTTTTTTTGGTTGGTAGGCTATTAATTATTGTCTCCATTTCAGAGCCTGTTATTGGTCTATTCAGAGATTCAACTTCTTCCTGGTTTAGTCTTGGGAGGGTGTATATGTCCAGGAATTTATCCATTTCTTCTAGATTTTCTAGCTTATTTGTGTAGAGGTGTTTACAGTATTATCTGATAGTAGTTTGTATTTCTGTGGGATCAGTGGTGATATCCCCTATATGATTTTTTATTGAGTCTATTTGATTCTTCTCTCTTTTCTTATTAGTCTTGCTAGCAGTCTATCAATTTTATTGATCTTTTCAAAAAACCAGCTCCTGGATTCATTGATTTTTTGAAGGGATTTTTGTGTCTCTATCTCATTCAGTTCTGCTCTGATCTTAGTTATTTCTTGCCTTCTGCTAGCTTTTAATTTATTTGCTCTTGCTTTTCTAGTTCTTTTAATTTTGATGTTAGAGTGTTGATTTTAGATCTTTCCTGCTTTTCTTGTGGGCATTTAGTGCTATAAATTTCCCTCTACACACTGCTTTAAATGTGTCCCAGAGATTCTGGTATGTTGTGACTTTGTTCTCATTGGTTTCAAAGAACATCTTTATTTCTGCCTTCATTTCGTTATTTACCCAGTAGTCATTCAGGAGCAGGTTGTTCAGTTTCCATGTAGTTGTGCAGTTTTGAGTGAGTTTCTTAATCCTGAGTTCTAATTTGATTGCACTGTGGTCTCAGAGACAATTTCTTGTGATTTCTGTTCTTTTACATTTGCTGAGGAGTGCTTTACTTCCAATTATGTGATCAATTTTAGAGTAAGTGTGATGTGGTGCTGAGAAGAATGTATATTCTGTTGATTTGGGGTGGAGAGTTCTGTAGATGTCTATTAGGTCTACTTGGTGCAGAACTGAATTTAAGTGTTGGATATCCTTGTTAACCTTCTTTCTCACTGATCTGTCCAATATTAACAGTGGGGTGTTAAAGTCTCCCATTATTATGGTGTGGGAGTCTAAGTCTCTTTGTAGGTCTCTAAGGACTTGCTTTATGAATCTGGTTGCTCCTGCATTGGGTGCATATATATTTAGGGTAGTTAGCTCTTCTTGTTAAATTGATCCCTTTACCATTATATAATGGCCTTCTTTGTCTCTTTTGATCTTTGTTGGTTTAAAGTCTGTTTTATTCAAGACTAGGCTTGCAACCCCTCCTTTTTTTTGCTTTCCATTTGCTTGGTAGATCTTCCTCCATCCCTTTACTTTGAGCCTATGTGTGTCTCTGCATGTGAGATGGGTCTCCTGAATACAGCACACTAATGGGTCTTGACTCTTTATCCAATTTGCCAGTCTGTGTCTTTTAATTGGGGTATTTAGCCCATTTACATTTAAGGTTAATATTGTTATGTGTGAATTTGATCCTGTTATTATGATGTTAGCTGGTTATTTTGCCCATTAATTGATGCAGTTTCTTCATAGCACTGATGGTCTTTACAATTTGGCATGTTTTTGCAGTGGCTGGTACTGGCTGTTCCTTTCCATGTATAGTGCTTCTTTCAGGAGCTCTTGTAAGGCAGGCCTGGTGGTGATAAAATCTCTCAGCATTTGCTTGTCTGTAAAGGATTTTATTTCTCCTGCACTTATGAAGCTTAGTTTGGCTGGATATGAAATTCTGGGTTGAAAATTCTTTAAGAATGTTGAATATTGGCCCCCACTCTCTTCTGGCTTGTAGGGTTTCTGCCGAGATATCTGCTGTTAGTCTGATGGGCTTCCCTTTGTGGGTAACCCAACCTTTCTCTCTGGCTTCCCTTAACATTTTTTCCTTCATTTCAACCTTGGTGAATCTGACAATTGTGTGTCTTGGGGTTGCTCTTCTTGCGGAGTATCTTTGTGGTGTTCTCTGTATTTCCTGAATTTGAATGTTGGCCTGCCTTGGTAGGTTGAGGAAGTTCTCCTGAACAATATCCTGAAGAGTGTTTTCCAACGTGGTTCCATTCTCCCCATTACTTTCACGTACACCAATCAAACATAGATTTGGTCTTTTCACATAGTCCCATATTTCTTAGAGGCTTTTTTATTTCTTTTTACTCTTTTTTCTCTAAGCTTGTCTTCTCGCTTTATTTCATAAAGTTGATCTTCAATCTCTGATACCGTTTCTTCCGCTTCTTGAATTGGCTATTGAAGCTTGTGCATGTGTCACGAAGTTTTCATGCCATGGTTTTCAGCTCCATCAGTTCACTTAAGGTCTTCTCTACACTGTTTATTCTAGTTAGCCATTCGTCTAACCTTTTTTTAAGGGTTTTAGCTTCCTCACAATGGGTTTGAACATACTCCTTTAGCTTAGAGAAGTTATTAAAGACCTTCTGAAGCCTACTTCTGTCAACTCATCAAAGTCATTCTCCAACCAGCTTTGTTCCATTGCTGGCAAGGAGCTGCAACACTTTGGAGGAGAAGAGGCACTCTGATTTTAGAATTCTTAGCTTTTCTGCTCTGGTTTCTCCCCATCTTTGTGGTTTTAGCTACCTTTTGTCTTTGATGTTGGTGTCCTACAGATGGGCTTTTGGTGTAGATGTCCTTTTTGTTGATGTTAATGCTATTCCTTTCTGTTTTTTAGTTTTCCTTCTAAAAGTCAGGTCCCTTAGCTGCAGGTCTGTTGGAGTTTACTGGAGGTCCACTCCAGACCCTGTTTGCCTGGGTATCACCAGCAGAGGCTGCAGAACAGCAAATAATGCTGCCTGATCCTTTCTCTGGAAGCTTTATCCCAGAGGGGCACCCACCTGTATGAGGTGACTGTCAGCCCCTAATGGGAGGTGTCTCCCAGTTAGGCTACACAGGGGTCAGGGACTCACTTGAGGAAGCAGTCTGTCTGTTCTCAGAGCTCAAACACCGTGCTGGGAGAACCACTGCTCTCCTCAGAGCTGTTAGACAGGGATGTTTAAGTCTGCAGACGTTACTGCTGCCTTTTGTTCAGCTATGCCCTGCCCAAAGAAGTGCCTCTATGGAGGCAGTAGGCCTTGCTGAGCTATGGTGGGTTCCCCCAGTTTGAGCTTCCCGGCTGCTTTGTTTACCTATTCAAGCCTCAGCAATGGCAGACGCCCCTCCCCCATCCACACTGCAGCCTCACAGGTTGACCTCAGACTGCTACGCTAGAGTGAGCAAGGCTCCATGGGCATGGGACCCACTGAGCCAGGCACAGGAGAAAATCTCCTGGTCTGCCGGTTGCTAAGACTATCGGAAAAGTACAGTATTTGGGCAGGAGTGTCCTGTTTTTCCAAGTATAGCTTGTCACGGCTTCCCTTGGCTAGGAAAGGGAAATCCCCTGACCCCTTGCACCTCCCAAGTGAGCCAATGCCCCGCCCTGCTTCAGCTCACCCTCCATGGGCTGCACCCACTGTCCAACCAGTCCCAGTGAGATGACCCAGGTACCTCAGTTGGAAATGCAGAAATCACCCGTCTTCTGTGTCGATCACACTGGGAGCTGCAGACCAGAGCTATTCCTATTCGGCCATCTTGGAACAGGAACCCAAACTATGTCAGGTTTATGTATTGCTCCTTCCTACACTAGGATCCCAGCTTTATGTTTCAGCTAAGCTCCCCACTTTATTTCTAACAGCCTATCTTCTGTATTGCCATTAAAATTTAAATCTTAGTCTCTGACATTTAAAAGAAATCCTTTAAGTTCTGGCATTCTGTTATTTCTCAGGATTTCTACCTTTATGCCAGCTCATAAATGCATCTTACAATGTTTTAAAAATATTTTATCCAGTTTTTAGTCAATTTGGAGAGTTATATAGGATAACTGGTCTGAAATTCTCTTAAAAATACAAAATCCCCCATTTTATTTCTAAGTTATCTTTATTAATTTTTTAAACTATTGCATTTTGTATTTATTTGGTATTGAATCAGTTTATTCAATATTATTATTTATCCATTGATTTTATTTTCACATATCAGTGAGCAATGTTATTTGCAATTAGTGATCTTTTTCTTCCTTTTCAACGACTATGCCACTTATTTCTGTTTTACATCTTATTTAATTTTCTAGAATTTTTAGAACAATCCAAAAGAATAATGGCAATGATAGGTCTCCTTGTTTTAATTGTAATTTTAATTTTAAAGTCCTCTAGTGTTTTTCATTAAGTATGATAATTGCTTTCATATTAAAATAGTTTATTATGTTAAATAAGTATCTATCTCTTTCTAATTTATAAAACATTATAAGGAGTAGTTTTATAATACATTTGGTATTTAATAGAATTCCCATATGATTATTCTTGTTTATTATATTATTGTTATATATTCCTAGAATTCCTAATATTAAACCATTCTGAAATAATATCTAGTGGGTAGTAGCATACCTTACATTGATGAATTAAATGTGTGCATAGGGTTTTTAGAACATTAGCATCTATATGCCTGCATAAAATTGTTGATTTTGTTTTATCATACTCTTAGTCCAGTCTGGCAATCATATAAATTAGAAAAATTTCACCAGTGTTTATGTATTAAATTTCTATAATGTGGAACTTCTTTTTCCTTAAAACATTTAAAGAACTGACTCGTAAAACTATCTGGGCTTAGAACTTTTTTGGGAATTAAATATTTGAAAGCATTTTTCATCTTTGTCATAACTATTGTTCTAATCAGGTCATCCACCTCTCCTTGAGTTAATTTTAATTATTTTTTCCCATCAATATAATAATATTTGTTGGGCTATTTTAACTGCATAGTTTACCACTGAATTCTACATAGTAGTTTTTATATTGAATCTCTATATGTACTATAACAAGAGGAAACTCTGGTGCATCCATCCCATTTTCTTGGAATTGTAGATGTAGTAGCTTCTGTTGTACTCTCCAGAAAAAAATATAGAAACAAACACTCCTTGCCTCAAGAGATAATTGGCGAGATTAAAGAAAGCCTTATATCTAATGGACCAAATTTAGCAGGAATTAGGTAATAAGGTTCCACCTCTACACTCTATTGTTATCTGGCTTCTCCTTTTGCTTCCCTGTGCTCAGACATGGCAGGCCTTGAGCTCCTTGTTTCTACATGGCAATCACACCTTGTAAACCTTGGCAAATGTCAGTCACTATTATTTCTACCCCCAGATCCTCCAATGTAATTTGTGAGTTATCTTCAGTCAATTTGATTGGAGAGAATGGAAAACTCACCCTGGCTTAAAACTCAAGCCTCATTTCTCACTTTAATCTTTATCATGGAGCCCTTTACTCAGAGAGTCATTTTAGTGGACATCAATAAAGCTGATAAGCTGAATCAAAATAGGCCTTATTCTATGAGCCAGGACTCTGAAGGGAAAAAGGAATTCCTGACTTCCCAAACATAACCCCCAACTTGTTAGAAACTCCTTGTTTTCAATTTTGTTTTTTTTTTGTTTGTTTGTTTAAGATAGAGTCTCACTCTGTCACCCAGGTTGGAGGGCAGTGGCACGATCTCAGCTCACTGCAACCTCTGCCTCCCAGGTTCAAGTGATTCTCACGCTTCAGCCTCCTGAGTAGCCGGGATTACAGGCGTGCGCAACTACGCCCAGCTAATTTTTATACTTTTTAGTAGAGATGGGGTTTCACCCTGTTAGCCAGGCTGGTCTTGAACTCCTGAGCTCAAGTGATCCACCTGCCATGGCCTCCCAAAATGCTGGGATTACAGGGGTGAGCCACCGCACCTGGCCCTCATTCTTAATTCTATGTGTTTGTGGTTTATCTTTTCCTTAAATACATTATCCAGCAATTTGCATCTTACTGTTTCACAGTCTGAAATAGGAGATTCAGTCTGCGTCAAAAGCAACTGTAAACACCTCAACTGCCTGACTTCACAGGTCTTCGTCCTAATATTCCTCTAGTCACATGGCATATCTTCTTTCCATAAACTTGCTCCTTTCTGCTAGCTTCTTTAACCTTTAACAAAAATTTCCTCTCCCTCAACTGTGTTTCATAGACTTCTACTTATTCATGGCATCCATTTGATCATAATCTTTAATGGTTCTTTCTCCAGCTCATGACTTTTCAATTCCTTCCCTGATGCAAACTGCCAGATTATCTCAGTATTTCCAGTTCAGAGTCAGGAAGTGGAAAATCTTACCAGCCCAGCTCATCCCTTCATCCCATGCCACATCATAGATCCCAAGAAGCTTAGGAAAGGATGAGGGCATAGGGCAAGTCAAGTGTCTGTCTCCAGGCCCACCATCTCCTTTAGGCCACCTCAACAACAGTTCAAAATTAACCCGTCGAATTATTGATCCACACCCCCATCTTGATTCTCTTCCCCATCTCTGCAATGTGCACCACCATCTGCCAAGTGTGCTACCGTCAGTTCCTCCCTTTCCCTCTTCACCCCACGCAAGCAATCTCATCCATCAGCTCTCATCAGTTCTTTCTCTAAAGTAGATCCTAAATCCATCTTCATTTCCATTAACACTACCTTAATCCAGGATTAAGGTTTCTGCTGTTGCTTGTCTGGATTACTACAGCAGCCTTCTAACAGCTTCCTAACCACTTGTTGCACTTTCCATTCTTTCCTTCATTCAATCCATATTCTACAAAGCAGAGGTAGTGGTGATAAAATATAAATTCAGTCACATAGATCCCTCAAAATCCTTCAGTAGCTTCCTATTTCTCTTAGAATAAAATCCAGTATTTTCCCACATCTGATACAGCTTTCGACGATCTGATTCTGGCTAATCTCTCAAACCTCATCTTGCAATATTCTCCCCACACTCACAATGTTTCAGCCACATCAGCGTTGCTTCAGTGACTCAGGATCCCTGAAGCTCTTTTCTGCCTCAGGGCCTTTGCACATGCCTCTGCTTGCTTGATGTTCCCCACACTCACAATGTTCTGGCCATACCAGCCTTGCTTCAGTGACTCAGGATCCCTGAAGCTCTTTTCTGCCTGAGAGCCTTTGCACGTGCCTCTGCTTGCTTGGTGTTCCCCTGCATTCTCACTTGCTTTAGGTCCCAGCTGAAATGTGATTTCCTCAGAGAGGACTTGGCCACCCTAAACCAAAGGGAACCTCCCTCAACTTGTAGCTCTTTATTTTACCCCCTTACATCTTCATATTTTTGCCCTCCTCTTTAAATTATTGGTGGAGGGGAAACTACAAAGAACACGAAAAAAGCAAAAGCCAAAAGGGGAGACAAAAAAAAAAAAAAAAACCTTAGAGATAAGAAAAAGGAGAAAAAGACAAGAAATTAAGAGGAAATACGCATGAAAGTATTAGCATTTATGGAAAATAAGTTCATAAAATTGTTAAATACACTTAAATGTTATACACCCCTAAAGCAAACATTCTTACTACTTACTTCTAACTCTTAGATAATGATTTCTAACTTCATCTTCAAGATAAGTCATCTTTCTTTGAATTCCAGTAAGTACAATATTCACTAGTGTAAGAATTTACCAAAACGAAGGCTCAAAATGAGTTAGAAGTATTTGAAAAAGTCATTATGAGCCCCTAGAAGAGTCTAATGCTTCTTTTCTCATTGTAAGTTTGCATAGCAAGGATCTAAGACAAGTTTTAAAATAAAACAACCCTCTCTTAGGGCCATGGGTACATGAGGCATCATTTCTCCACAATAGCCTGGCCCTCTCGCCTCCCTTTGTCTTCTGCAATGCCTCTTTGTAACTCACAGGTGTTTGTGGGCATAAAGCCCATCAGAAGGGAGTTTATTGTGAAGAGTTCTTTCTTTGCCACTTGTTCTAAACCTGTTCAGAGAGTGCTCCATGCCTTAGACCAAATCTCCATAAAAATCAAGAAACAAGAAGTTTTCTGTACGCCTGTACAACAGCCACACTATGACATTAGTTTCGACAGCTCTGTGACCCTGTATTGTCCCAACTTTATTCACTAGTCTCTTTTTCTCTTTCTCTCTCCATTCCTTTTTTTAAGCCTTTATTGGCATTTTTTTATCTACTGTAAAATAAAAAGGAGGAGGATGGGTGGGGGTTTTTTAAGCACTCTATGTGGCAGATAAAAAAAAAACCACTATCTGCAGTTACTGTAGTAATGGTTTCAAAAAACACCTGCAAATCAAAGAAAGACACCACGGCAGTGTCTTCAGACTTTTTTTTCCTCTTCTTCTCTTAAAGTTCCTTCTTGGCCATTTTAAGTAGGCCCGGCAATGAATTTATGTGACAGCTATGAAGTTAGTATTAAAATTGTGAATAGTGCCTAGCAGTTTTCATGCCCTTAGTATAAGATCGCCTCAATTTGCCACACAGCGGTGAATAGGGTAAAGAAGGGAGGGGGTGTCGAATGAATGGGAGGAGGAGGTTACGTGAATGGGAGGGTTTCCCGGGAGGGGGCAGCACAGTTGTCACAGGGAGAAGAGTGATTTATTTTTGAAATTCCAGAAAGGAAGACCAAAAGAAGCTGCCTAAAAGATCCTGAAGTGCGGGGTTGGGGGGATGTGAGATAAATAATATGTCTACACACATTTAACAAGTGTCAAGGCCAGCTCTAGAAGTAGGGACAGGGTGGGGGCGGCGGTGGTAAATCCATTCCTCTGGTCTTCCAAGATTCAATATTAAATGCCAGCAGGGAGCAGATGTGGGCAGGGGCTGCAGAACAGGGGTAAGGAGCGCTGAAGGAGGGGTTAAGCGTTTATCTCAATGGAAATTAACCACTTGGGGGGAATTAAAAGAGAGCTGGAGCGGGCGGGGAAGGTTAGGGGGAGAAGCGGGACAGGGAGAGTGTCTCTACATGTAAAGAGAGGAACTTTCCTGGTGCGGAGATCTGGGGAGGGCATTCAGTAAAATGAGGTGAGCAGGGCTGCAAAGAGCAAGGCGGGGCGTGCCCTCCACCGCCCCCAACCGCTCCGCCCGGCCCCTCCCCCGCTCCCTCCCCCACCCCTCCCCCTTCCTGTATTAGCATGCGGGCGGCGGCGAGCCGGCCGGGTGGGGAGGGCGGCGGTGGCATCGCTGCGCGGGGCGCATTGTGGGCCGCGCTCGCCTCCGCGGGGGACCATCTGCTCGCTGTCAATGCATCACCTGCTCGTCTGGGCCGTCGCCGGGGCAACGGGGGGCGGGGGATTAAGGAGCGTGTGCGTCTCGGTCCGGGCCGAGGCGGCGAGGTGGGGGTTGGGGCGGGGGAGGAGAGCTCCTTGGCCCCCCACCCCCCTGCCCCGAGACGGGTCGACCCGCTCGGGGGCCGGCGACCACCGCGACGGGTTCCGCCGCTTGCCTCCGCTCCTTGGCCTTTGCTGCCGTGCTGCCTCTTCTCACGGGCGCGGCTGGAGTCCCGGGGAGCAGCAGAGAGCAAACGGTCCGGCTCTACCTCACCCTGCCAGGGGGCGAGTCCCGCGCTCCCTGCGTCTACCTGGAGCTGCAGGGTCCCTATCCCGGGGCGCCGCCCGCAGCCTCCTCCGCGGGAGCTGGAGCACTCTGCTGGGTCCTGGGGACGCGGCGCAGCGTGGTTCCAAGCGCTCCGCAGTCGCCGGGCAACCACAATGGGGCTGCCTTGCCGTGAGACCCTCCCCCGCGACTGCCACCAAAGTCACAGAAAACTTTCACACCTCTCATCTGACACTGTGGCCTGTGCACGACTCCAAGCACTGGGGAAGCCTTCGACATCAGAATATGAATGGCACCTGTTCTTCCGGGGGCGGCAAGGGGGATCCCGATGTTTATCAAAATGGGTTGATTTTCCACGGAGGGGGTACTTCTGGAGGTAGTAATCCCCAGAAATCCTGAAATTCCCCCTTCCACCTACTCATCTGCCTCGAATTGTAAACCATTTTGAATAGAGGAGTAGTGCATCCAGGAATAATGCAGCCAACAGCAGGGGGCAGAGCAAGGCTGTAGATGGGGACAGTGGCCATTTGGGGATACTTTTAATCCAAAGTCATGCTAGTTGGTTTAGAAACTTCTGAGGAATTTTACTCTCTGCTCTTCCTCATCTCTATCCCACCTCCGACTGGTCAAGGACATTTAGCTGTGCCAACAAAGGTCGTTCTCATCTGCCTGAGGAGTCCACACACTTCAACAAAGGACTGGTTAACACCCCCTAATTCCTGCCCATAAGCTGTCCATAGGCTGCACAGAACCAAAGAGTTGTTAAGTCTTCATCACAACTCATAATATATAAATATTTTTTCTGGGCTAGCTAATTACTGAACACTCTTCTGCAGAATCACAGGACCAAAAGAAAGTGGACATTCACACCTGAGTCCCAGGATGGACACCCTCCCCACCACCCCACACACCCACATCTAAAATATTTCTAGCCGGGAAAAAAAAAAAAAAAGCAGCTTGTTTTTAAAGACTCTTGAGTCTTGTTAGATCTCATTCAAAGGTCTAGCAACTCTTGGGAAGCCAACAGCCTTTCTCTGACTTAGCAACTCAAACCCATTTTCTGCATTTATTTCTTTAAAAAAAAAAGTAAGTTTGTACTATTGACCCTATGTTCATCTTTTCCAGCTAAAGTCTCGTGATCATCGAGTAAAATTTCTCTCATCCTTTTATAATTTCTAGATAGAAACACCATGAATCAGGCTAATTTTATGATTAAAATGCATTTTTTTAAATTTGCTGTGACCACACAGAAAATGACAGTTCCACTAATGTATCACTTTCTTTTTATCATTCATATGCAAGAGAGAAAAGTCAACTATCAAAATATCCATGGCTTTGACATAATAGATGAAGGGGAAAAGGTTTGTATGTATAAACTTGCTCCAAATATAAAATTCTACCCACCATTTTACTTTAATTATGACTTCCATAAATTAAAGTTGAGAGTTCTGAGAAGACATGCCCTTCAATCTACAAGGTACTCCTAAATACATAGAATCATGGCATCATTCCAACTTAGAGAAGGGATGAGCTGAGTCCAACCCTCCTATCTATAGATAAGGTAGCAAGCCCCAAAATGGTAAGTGACTGGCCCAAGACTGTACTGCTAGTGGCTATGGATACCCAGTGCTCTCTTAACCCCAACAATATCACAGAGGTGCAGCTTTGCACACCAAAAACACCTGAAAATGCCCTTTGTCTACTCTGTTACCATTCCTACAGCTGCTGTTTTCACTACAGAAATGAGAACTCTTCATCAATTTCAGCAAATAATCCTTGAGTACCTATCACGTGTCAGGCAAAATAAACAAAGATCCCCATCCCTGTAGAGCTCATTCTTTTGTGGTGCAAACAGATTTTAAAAGAAAGAAAAGGCTGGGCACGGTGGCTCACGCCTATAATTCCAACATTTTGGGAGGCCGAGGCAGGCGGATCACTAGGTCTGGAGATCGATACCATCCTGGCTAACATGGTGAAATCCCGTCTCTACTAAAACAAAATAAAAAAAATTAGCCGGGTGTGGTGGCACGCGCCCATAGTCCCAGCTACTCAGGAGGCTGAGGCAGGAGAATCGCTTGAACCTGTGAGGCAGAGGTTGCAGTGAGCAGAGACAGCGCCACTTCACTCCAGCCTGGGTGACAGAGCGAGACTCCATCTCAAAAAAAAAAAAGAAGAAAGAGAGAAAACTATTCATTTATTGAACATCTAATCAGCTACGATGAGAGGGAAAAATGTATTCACAAATAAGATATGGATGTCAACCTTAAAAAGAGAAAAGCATACATGAGAATCAGAGCAATGCAATCAACTAGAAAATAATCTCAATATGACAAAGTATCATGAAGTACAGAGAAGGCATCAGGTAATTTTGCCTGGGCAATGTCATAGAGAAGATGTCATAAATTTGGCTATATAATAGCAGTCCCTGGTACCTAAACAGGGTATGGCACATAGCAGATGCTCAATAAATCGTTGTTGGATGAATGCATGAATGAACAAATGAATACTGCATTTTCCAAATAGTCAAAAGGAGGAAGATATTTAAGGCAAAGATATGACAGTATATGAAAATGTGGTACATATATACAATGGGATATTATTCAGACAAAAAAGGAAGAAAATCTCCCCACTTGTGACAATATGGATGAGCCTAGAGGACATTAGGTTAAATAAACCAGTCACAGAAGGACAAACACTGCATGATCTCACTTATGTATGGAATATTTAAAAGTCTAACTCCACCCAAATGCCCATCAATGATAGACTGGATAAAGAAAATGTGGTACATATACACCATGGAATACTATGCAGCCATAAAAAGGAACAAGATCATGGCCTTTGCAGGTACATGGATGGAGCTGGAAGCCATTATCCTCAGCAAACTAACACTAGAACAGAAAACAGAAACACTGCATGTTCTCACTTATAAATGGAAGCTGAACAATGAGAATACATGGACACAGGGAGGGAAACAATATGCACTGGGGCCTGTTGGGGGGTGGGGTTGGGGGAGGGAGGGCATTAGGAAAAATAGCTAATGCATGCTCGGCTTAATACCTAGGTGATGGGATGATAGATGCAGCAAACCACCATGGCACACATTTACCTATGTAACAAACCTGCACATGTACCCCAGAACTGAAAATAAAAATAAATTAAAAAAAAAAGTCTTAACTCACACAAGCAGAGAGTAGAATGGTAGTTGATAGATGATGGGGAGCGAGGAGGATGGGGAGTAAGGGAAATGGGGAGATGTTAGTCAAAGGGGATAAACCTTCAGTTACAAGATCAGCAAGTTCTGGTGATCTAATATACATAATGGTGACTAAAATTAATAGTGCTGTATTACATACTTGAAATATGCTAAGACAGTTCTCACCACCACACACCAAAAATGGTAATTATATGAGGTGATGGATGTCCTCATTAGCTTGATTGTCATCATTTCACAATGTAGACATATATCAAATCATTACATTGTACACGTTAAATGTAGAAAGTTTTTATTTGTCAATTATACCACACCAAATCTGGGGAAAATGTTTTTTAAGGAAAGTTATCACAGTATGAACAAAGGTTGAGGGGCATCTGTATTTAAGGAGTGATGAGTGAGCCATGAACTGTGAGCAAAACAAAACAATGGAGAAGAGAAAGGAAGATGGCACACTGGCTTGGAGGTATGTTGAGAAGGGATTTCACTACCATGCCAAGAATGTGGATTTTGTCCTGAGGACTAATAGTTTTCAACAGCAGCACACTTGTTTTAAGCAGAATCTTGTAAGAAATCCAAACAGGATAAAACTGATCCATATAGAGCTGTCCTAATAGAAGCAGGGATATGCCCCCTGCCCACAGTCTCACCATCCAGCCATGGCTGGGGACTCTATACTGCCCTTTGAAATACTGTTTGAACATCAGTACAACTGGCAATGAGTCATCTTTGAACTTTATCAGACATAAGAATGTGAGTTTAGAAGGAAAGGAGAAGTCAGGAAGAGCAGTTAGAATGCTATTGAAATTGTTCAAGCACAAAATAATAAGAACTTAAATTAGATCAGTAACATTCATAGTGAAATGGAAAATAAAGAGATTTTGAAAACAGAATCCTTAATATACAAGGTCTTCCTGCATCAGAGAAAATAATTTTACCTCTGGCACGTCTAAGTTTGGATATCTTTTTAAATGATAATATATTACAAACTTCAGCCTTTTAACTGTTACTATGGCTAACACATTCTCACATTTGCAAAAGTTTATGAAAAAACACAAATTCCTTTGCAGCAAACTGCTTAAATGATGGTTCATATGTCAGAGTATAGATTTTGGGATCCTAAGAGAAGCCAATGGAAGCTACAGAAAGTTAGCAAAAAGTGAAGCATGTTTGAAAGATATCTAATACCCCTTTCATTTACTAACCAGGCATACCAATTTTTGACCAACGATCAAAACCATCATGACCCTTTCCCTACACTTTCTCAAATGTAAGCATTGAAGTTTTTTCTGAAAAGTTACATAAAATTATTCAGTACCCACTTACATTTAGTTACAATTGCCCAGTAAAAGCCCCTCCTGGGTAGAAGGCTTGTGACTTAAGGAATCCATGACACTCCTGGATTGGGTAAAACAAAGATATGCTCACACAAATAAGCTAATAAGAGAGGCAGCAAAAGAGAACTGGGAAGCCAGAGAAATTCACATGATGAAGATACCTGGCATTTAGCCAAAAGTAAAAACTATAAATATTAATCAGATGAGAATCAGTGTCACTTTACTGCAAGAATGTTCTGTAATTAAAAGAGTGGGTATTGTGTTGTGCATGTTAGCACAATTGCCGCCAATAATATTGGATGCCAGTAGCTCAGGAGTACTGGAAAGAGCATGGATTTCTAAGGATGTCACTTAGCAGAAAGTTTACTAAATATCAACTGTTTATGTCAAATTGAAGTGATACTGCAAAGTAAAGGAAGAAATATCAGGGTTTCAAAATTGTGTTCCTGTCTTTAAAAGACAAGAAAAGAAACCTTCCTTGGACATCTATTATAAGAAAGGCATTTGCTAGTCGCTTTCCAGACATAATGTCTTTGAATCCTTACCTCAGTCCTGCAGAAAAGGTGTCATCATAATCACATTTCAAAGATGCAGCTATTCCAAAGTTGGCTTTGTGATCCAAGATGTGGCTGTGGTTGTGCATGTCTGAAGTGGAGCAGAGGTGACATGTCCTTGAAGTTGATAAAGTCACAAGATTGTGAGACGGCAATGCTTCCTGGATCATCCCTGTGGGCCGATGGGCCTTGGAGTGGATGAAAGGCATGGGAGGGAGATACCAAAGCTCTCATTTGGGTAAATCAGCAGTAAACCTGCTCAGTTGTCAGGCAAAGGAGGTTTGAGCAATTCACTGGGAGTGTCAAAAAAAGGGGGGATAATTGAAGATCAGAGTAGCAATGGTTGGGAGAGGCAAAAGGAGATAAAAGTGTGCCGTTCTCTTTCTTTCCTCTGTTCCTAGACATAGGGGTGAGAGAGGATGAACAGCCTCCACTGCTGAAGGGGGCTAAATGGTAAATACTCCCACTATGGTGGATTTAAAGCTCTCATGATGTTAGTGAGCGCAGAGTTGGGAAAAGATGTGCACAATCAGCTCTGACGATCCAGTGCCAGTTAGCGCCAGCACCCTATTGCCCTTTCCCATGTCATATTTTCCTGTTGCTTCTTCCCACCTGTTCTTGCTCAAAGATAAAGCTGTTAAATTGTCCAGACTGTGTACATTGCGCAACTCTAGTGTTGCCATTTTCATCACAGCCATCATTGACATATATAATTTAATATGACAATTTTCCTTTAGGAAGCCGTGTAGAGCAAAGGAGACCTTTTCCTAATTTACACAAAAGCACCATTTGGGTTGGTTTTCATGCTGCTCAAAGACCACATACTGGAAGTCACAAGCCAAATTCAGCCCACAGACATCTTTTATTTAACTCACATTGGGTTTTAAAAAAGACATTTTTTTAACTAGCTTGCCAACATTTAAAAGTCAGGAAACCAAAATCCAAATTACTAGATTATATTGGAAAAATCAAAGCAAGCTGCGCTACATTGAAAGCAATAACAAAGAAAGTACCTATGCCTAGATCATGGTAGGCGTTCAAAAGATGTCAGGATCCTTCAGCCCACCCTAGCTGTTTTGTACTCACCTTTTTTATCATTATATCCTGGAAGCCACATCACCTGGACCCTATCTTCCTCTGTGGCTCCTCCCTTATCTTCTGTCAGTTTCTAGAACAATCTTTGCACCTCAGGGCTTTGCACTTGCCCAGTCTTCTTCCTGAAACACTCCACCCTCCACCCCCTTGACTGGTCCAACTCCCACTCATCCTTCCATTTCATTTTAGATGTCATCTTCACCATCAGCTTTCAACAAGACTCCCAAATACCTCCAACTCATGCCATGCTCCATGGAGCAGTCAGAGTGATCTTTTTTAAAAAATAAATCAGATCATGGCACAGCATAATTGTAATGAAATGCAAGCTCCTTCAGCTGGCCCTTAAGGAATGGTGTGGTTTGGACACTGTCCCCATCCCTCAGTCACACTGTTTCCCTATTTCCTTTACAAACACACCTCCCGTGTGCCTGCCTTTGCTCTTGCCACTCCCTTTGCAGGAACACTCTTTCCCAGGTTTTCATAGAACCTACACCTTGGTAACATTCTGGTCTCAGCACAAACCAGCTGCACATCCTCAGAGAAGCCTTTCTACCCACCCATGTAAAACAGCAGCCCTGCCCGCTGCCAGCCTCACTTCAATGACTCTCCATCGCATCCCTTGATTATGTATCCCAGATATACCCCAGATCTCCAAATCAGACTTCCTGGTAGTGGGGCCTGCCAATCTTTCCTTTTATTAAGCTACCTCTGGGGATTCTGATATGCAACCAATTTAGGAACCCTCAGTCTGTGGTATAATGGGAAAGGAAAGAATGGTAGGCATGTTGAGGTGTGCTGTGGTTCACGGCGAGTGTTTTGTTCCTCATGAGTTTTGATAGTCCAATATTACAGTGATGTAGGATACTACAAACCCACTGTAATTTTGCAGCAATAAATTACTGTCATTCCCTTGCTTGTTTATAAATGCCACCTGAAACCTCAATCAACAAAATTGTGGAGAATCTGTTAGAAACAGAGCCAAAAATTCCTCCAACTTCTTCGTAGAACAGTTATGATCATACAAGTGAGAAGACTAAGTGAAGAATGGACAGCTAAAGGATTCGACAAATTAATAGGTTGAAGGAATACAGACATAGTTTTTTAAGCCAGGAAACTGTGGGTGCTTACAAATCTTTGGGAAAATACTCACTGTCACCAAGAATTTTAAGATTAAAATATTTGGTGAACTGGGAGGTACCAGGTCAGGAGGGCCCAGGGGCCAGGGCCATGGCTGGGAGCGGCTCCATTCTGGCGCCCCAGCTCCTCCAGGTCACAGTCCTCGTTCCGCCCCCTCGCCCACTGCTTGCATGACCCTGAGAGGCATCTCTGTAGGGCTACTGAGCCCACAGACCCAGCCTGCGTGTTCTGCACACGTGGGTCTCAAGACTAAGAAAGATGGGAGGACACAGAGCTGACCAGCCAAGTATAAGGACCCTGGTCACGCTGTGCATCTGCAGCCCCTGCCCAACTGTCTGCCTGCCCCGGATGGATTCTGTCCCAGAATCCAAGGGCTGCCTGAACAGGATGACAGGGTCATGCCCAGGGTCAGAGGCACTGAGGCACCTGGCATCCCGAGTGTAACTGGCAGGACCTGCTGGTGCTGCAGGAGCAGACGAGGGCAGATGAGATCCTCATCAGGAACACCTTCCACACTTACCACCAGCAGTGACTCATGCCTGGCATTCTGCTGGCCAATTGCACTGAAGTTTTTCATGGGGAGGAGCATATTGCAGCTGTGGGAGCTGGGTGTACTAGGCCCCACCATCAAAGGATATGGCTGTATTGGGGTCTCATGTGTGGCCTATGCACTTCTGGTCTAAAAGCTGGAGTGGGTGGACAGTGGCTACAGGTTGGCAATGAGTGTCTAGTCCTCCTCTAGTCATGCGCCCTATCTACACCTACATCAGTGAGGAGCAGTGGCAGAAGTATTAGGTTGGTGCAAAAGTAATTGTGCTTTTTGCCATTACTTCTAATGACAAAAACTGCAATTATGTTTGCAGCAACCTATACCTGCCCCCTGCTGGCCAAGGGGGCGCTCCTGCGCTACTTCAGGCTCATAGAGCCCAACTGCAGGAGTGACCCCGGCAGCATGGAGATCAGAACCTGCCATAACCCCTGGAATAAGAGCTGCACCCTCAATGGGACCACCCTGATCCAACGGGACCTGAATCACCACCAGGATCCAGTGAGACCTAGGTCACCACCTCACCTGTGGCCAACCTGTTTGTAGCGTGGGCTGGAAGATGGCTACCTTCAGGGCTTCCTGTCGGAGAAGGGTATGTTGGGTCTCTTGGCCTCCAAGATTGAGGGCAAGTTCTCCCTGCGGGCCTCTGCCATGGGCATGATCATCGTGGACAGCGTGGAGGTGGAGGACGTGCTGCTCAGTGCAGGCAGCCTGGAGGGTCCCTTTGGCTGCCTGAACAACGCCAGATCTGGTATCATGTGGGGAGTGCTTGGAGCTGCCGAGTTTTGTCTGCTCGTGGCCAGGCAGTACACCCCACACAGGATCCAGTTTGGCATCCTGTTGGTCAGGCACCAGCTGATTCAGAAGTTGGAGGACATGCTCACTGAGGTCACGCTGGGCCTTCATGCCTGTCTGCAGCACAGCCACTTGAAGAATCAGGGCAAGGCAGCCCCCGGACAGGTCTCTCTGCTAAAGACGAATAACTATGAAAAAAGCCTGGACATTGCCTGCCAGGCCTGAGACATGCTGGGGGGTACTGGGGTTTCTGATGACTATCATATGGTCCGGAACATCAGGAACTCAGAGGCCATGAAAACCTCTGAGGGTACACATGACATGCGCACCCTGATCCTGGAAAGACCTGTCACGGGAATCCACAAATTCACGGCTGGCAAGTGAGCCCATCCAGCCAGTGGCCCAAAGCTCTCAAACCCCTTCCCAGAGACAGGCCTGGCTGGACCATGGGAATGCTGTGTTCTGAGCTTAGGAAGGAAGCTAGCGGATGGAGTGGGAAGTGAGAGACACTGATTTTTAAATATCAGAATTTCCCTTCTGAAGTTGTTCAGATGTGTTCCTTAAAAAGAAGATGGAATTCTCTGTAGAGTTTCTCAGTCCACTTTTAACAATGGATGAGAACAGACTCCATTTACCTTGAAATAGAAACATCTATTGAGAGAAGGAGTGTGACATTGAAGCAACTTCCTGGAGACCCCCTTGGTCTCTGCCTGAGCAGACTCCCCTCACATCAAGGGTTCACAGTGCACCCTCCGACCCTTCCATCCGGGGTTAGTGCCTTATGCTGGACATTGGAGCAGAATAAGGGAGAGGAAAATAAGAAGGCTGCACGTCTGACCCCATAGTGTTGGGTTACATTGACTGGTAACCACCTGAGAAGTAGTTTCAGTCACAGGAGAAATGAACACGTCTGGGTGCTCTGAGTCATGGGAACGTGGTAGGGACGGCATTTACTGGTAACCACCTGAGAAGTAGTTTCAGCCACAGGAGAAATGAACACATCTGAATGCTGTGAGTCACTGGGACATGGTGGTCTAGCCCATGTCTGAGTCTTAGGCTCTGCTGTAATAAATAAACCCAAGTTAGCACTGCCCAGGCCCCTGGGGGGCATATACCAGGGATGCAGGGCTCAAGGCTGTAGATGGAGAGGACAGTTTCTGACCAGCAGGGGTGCAGGGGATTTTGTTCTTTCTGTCACCACACAGCTGATCACGTGATGGTGGGAAATGACAGTGGTCTGGCTTCTCCGCTTGGACACACCATGTTACAGGGGGTCACAAATGAGATGGCAAAAGCACCACGGGCCTTGTGGGGACTGTGGCCTTGTGAGGTCAGGGCTGGCTGCCTGGTTTCTGTTCACATTTACTATCAGCTGGGCCATCCCTGCTTCCTCAGGCAGAGCCCCCCATTGAGTTTGCTCAGGCGGGATACCTCAGACCGGATGCACAGGTCTTTGTACACAGTCTCCTTCTGTGGCCATCTTGGTTAAGCTCTGTTTCCAAATGGCTGATCTTTGCCACTTTCTGAGTGAACCCCTGGAGCTTTTCCTAGATGATCTTGATGTTATCATTATAAAGCTGATAGATCCTCTCCTCTAACTGCTCTGTCAGATCCAAAACTTTTCAAAGAATAAGACACATTCTTGGAAAATCAGACAAGATGTATCACCAGCCATTTATTCTAAGTGGATCTCAAATTTCTGCAATTTATCTTATATAATGCTAAAACAAACAACCCCCCCACGCCATCCCACCACCCCCCCACACACACAAAACAAAACAAAAAAAAAACCAGTGCAGTCACTGCGGAGCTAAATTTTTTAAGAGGTGAAAACATATAAAGTCAGTTGCCACATAGTGATGTTTTGGTCAATATCGGGTTGTATATGCAATGATGGTCCTGTAAGATTATAATATCTTATCATAATTTTACTGTACGTTTTCTTTGTTTAGATATGTTTGAATACACAAATACTTACCATGGTGTTACAATTGCCTATAGTATTCAGTATAGTAACATGTTGTGCAGGTTTGTAGCCTAGGAGCAATAGGCTATACCATCTAGGTTTGTGTAAGTACAATCTATGATGTTCAGACAATGATAAAGTTGCTTAACTTCGCATTTCTCAGTAATGTTCCAATTGTAAAGTGATGCATGATTTTATACAGTATAAATTCAACTAGGTTAGAAAGAAAGTACATAAAACAGGGGCTAGAAGAGGCATGCAACAAAGTGGTCTCTGGGTGATGTATCAAATACATGTTTATATATATATTTATATATTATATATATATATATTTATATATTATATATATATATTTATATATTATATATTAAATATATATTTATATATTATATATATATTTATATATTATATATATATTATATTTATATATAATATATTTATATATTATATATAAAATATATATATTATATAAATATAATATATATATTATATATAAATATATATTTATATATAATATATATATTTATATAAAATATATATATTTAATATAAATATATATTTATATATAATATATATTATATATATAATATAAATATATATTTATATATAATATATATTATATATATAATATAAATATATATATATAATATATATTTATATTATATATAATATATATATATTTATATTATATATATAATATATAAATATAAATATATATATATTATATATAATATATAAATATATAATATATATATTATATATATTTTTTTTTAACTGCGTTATGCATTTCTCTACTTTCTAAATTTTCTATGCTGTACCAGGGTATGTACCAATAGGGATTGGGCAGGGGGGCATAAAAGTGGAAAATAGGTTGGGCACAGTGGGCCACCCCTGTAATCTTAGCACTCTGGGAGGCCAAGGCAGGAGGATGGCTTGAGGCTAGGATTTCAAGACCAGCCCGGGTAACATAGTGATACCCCATCTTCAAAAAAAAAAAAAATTGTTTTTTATTTGTGGGGTGTGGCGGCACACACCTGTAGTTCCAAGCTACTTAGGAGGCTGAGGTGGGAGCATCTCTTGAGCCCAGGAGTTTGAGGCTGCAGTGAGCTATAATTGCACTACTGCACCTAGCCTAGGGAACACAGTAAGACCTTGTCTCCAAAAAACTGGTGGGGTGGGGGCGGGTAATAAAGTCAACCTTTCATCGACACACGTGGAATTAGCAAGCTGTTCCATTCATGAGATCCATTATATTTGAAGAGGCATCAGGCATAACCATTAATTTAGGACCTGAACATAGCATCAGGCATTGCAAGACATAAGCTCCTGGCATGTTGAAGAACCCCAGCTCTCCCATCAGAGAATATTTGATGACTTCTGGAGGACGTGGATGTGACAATGCAAGCTGTGCCTCAACCCCGACTACCGTAGCTATTCATCCCTGTGTGAAGTGAGAGGGCTGGGCATTGGATGCAGGGGAATCTGGGCCCTCAGCCTGGCTCTCTAACTTGGGCAAATCATTCATTTCCAAATGTTATCCATACAATGAGTCCAATATCTTATTTTCAGGATTATTGTAAGGGTGAATTAAGATACAGGTGGTCCCCAACTTACTATGATTTGATGTATAATTTTTCAACTTTATAATGAGTTTACTGGGGTATAAAGTACATTTTCAACTTATGAAACAAAAAAGGTTAAAACATTTAAAGGTTGTGAAAGTGTGAAAACAAGAAAAAGAATAGAAGGTGGCCATACGATCAGCAAAATTTAATAAATTGTGTGAGTGGAAGGATTATTTTCCTGCCAAACAAACATGAGATCCATAGAGAAATTATTTCCCAGGAGCTTTATAAGATTTTGAGTTTGTCTTAGCAACATTTAAGTCATTGGAGGTATCATTTTCATGGTATGCTTCCAAATTTAACATTTAAATAGGAAAAAAAAGTCCCAAGCCAAATTTGAATACCCATAACCAATAACTAGAAATGCAATTCAGTCAATATATGACTGACGGTGTTGTAATTGTTCATACTATGGCTAAGAAGAAATGTTACCCCTCTCTGAAATGTCCCCATTTCCCCATCTAGATGTAATCTATCCTAGCACCATTTATTTATTTATTATTTGTTATTTATTTATTTGCTGGAAATTACAGTTACTTATAAATATGTGTGTCCTACTCTACAAGTTCCTTTGTGCAACATAGTATAGGATGGCCAATAACCTAAGCAAAGGAGACAGAAACACTTGGTTTCAAGTCCTGGCTCAGCCACTTGCCAACTGTGACCTTGTGCAAATTATTTGATCTTTCTAAATGTCAATTTCCTCATCTGTAAAAAGGTGGCAATCATGTAAGAACTAATAATGATAGCTAATATTTATAAATGCTTATAAGCCAGGTAGGTACTAAGTATTTGAAGTACTTTATATGTAAAAAATTTGCTAACTCTCGCAAGAACTCTTTGAGGTAGCTATTATTTTCTCTCTTTTATACAAGAGGCAAACTGAGGCATAAGGATGTTAAGTACCTTGCTCAAGGTGTGCAGCTAATAGGTGACGGAGGTGGTGTTCAAACCCAGTCCACCTGATGCCAAAATGAAATAATGCTTGTAAAGTGTTCAGTATAGCAGCTTTATGAGTAGTCATCTTTTCACACCAGGGTTTCCTCATACCCCTACTCATTTGTGCCATTCAGCAGGTATTGAACCTAACCTTATGCTTCAATGATGCAATATTTGTTACTGAAGAATCAGGAAAAAATACAAGAATGTCTCCCTCCTTCTGCATTCATCACTACCCAATTGAGAGCCTCAAGGAAGAATCATTTTCTGGAAGTCCTCAAAACCTGCCATTTTCAAAGGAAAAAATAAATCTCAGCCCCTGAGCCAAGCGTAAGCACCTACAGACAGCCTCGGAAATGCAATTTAAACAACATCCAAAAAAAGCTTCCTCGGGTAAAATACAGATGATACTGCCAAAGGAAAGAAAATGGTAAATTGAAGCAAGTTTTTAAGCTTAAATTAATTTAACATCGATTCCAAGGAGAGCAGGTACTAGATACTGCACATGGTTATGCTGACCTTAGACCAACTCTCATTTTATTCTGAATTCCCGTTTTGAGCACTGCAAACTAACTAGCTTTCAGAGGTCACTCCTGCATGGCTATTTGTATATCTTCTGGCCAAAACACATGGAAATTGTTATTACATGCATGGGAAGTAAAGAGAAAATCTGCTTAACATCACAAATGATCAGGGAAATGCAAATCAAAACCACAATGTGATGCAACTTTACTCCTGCAAGAATGGCCATAATCAAAAAAATCAAAAAATAATAGATGTTGGCAGGGATGCGGTGAAAAGGGAACACTTCTACACTGCTGGTGGGAATGTAACTAGTACAACTGCTGTAGAAAACAGTGTGGAGATTCCTTAAAGAACGAAAAGTAAAAGCACCATTTGATCCAGCAATCCCACTACTGGGTATCTACCCAGAGGAAAAGAAGTCATCACATAGAAAAGATATTTGCACGTGCAGGTTTATAGCAGCACAATTTGCAATTGCAAAAATGTGGAGCCAGCCCAAATGTCCATTAATCAATGAGTGGATAAAGAAATTGTGGTGCGTATATATACATTGGAATACTACTCAGCCATAAAAAGGAACAAATTAATGGTGTTTACAGCAACCTGGATGGAACTGGAGACTATTATTCTAAGTGAAGTAACTCAGGAATAGAAAACCAAACATCAAACATTCTCACTCATAGTTGGGAGCTAAGCTATGATAGGATACAAAGGCATAAGAATGATACAATGGACTTTGGGGATTTGGGGGTAAGTGTGGGAAGGAGTGAGGGATAAAAGACTACAAATTGGGTTCAGTGTATACTGCTTGGGTGATGGGCACACCAAAATCTCACAAATCACCACTAAAGAACTTACTCATGTAACCAAATACAACCTGTTCCCCAAAAACCTATAGAAATAAAAAATTATAAAACAAAAGTAAAAAAAATAAAGAAGATGAAAAAAGTTTCTAAATCCTCTTTCAGACTTGGACTTTTAGACATTCTGAAACCAGGGAATTCTGCCACGGAGATATAAGTTCTTTAAATTCCCTAAAACAATCATTTCATTTTGAACTCAGTGATAAAATTACAGAATCACATTATCACACTGGGCTCTTTTCCTTTGTGCTGTGGGTTAGAGAGAGGCCAGATCATAGATATTTGAGAATATGAAACTTCAATGGGAAATCGATGATCTTATATCTTACCCCTTCTTTAATGGCTGCAATTTTGTTCTTCACCCATCCTTAATCCCAGCTGCACAGGCTACAATCCTCTTTTTAATCCTGACCATGCACATCAGGTCCAGCCCCATCATCTACTAAGAGACTGCACTTTGACAAGTGTTCCCAAACTAGTCAGTGGGAGACATTGTGTGGCCATATTGGCAAGTTGTGGGAGGCTCCCATTCCAGCCTCTTCTCATGAAGCCAGTGGACAGGGTTGACCATTCTAACTCTCAAGAGGTATGCAGGTGAGGTTCTGACTTTTTAAAACCTCCAAGAAAAAATGGAGGAGAAGATGGGATGCTTTGGAGAAAAGGAGAGAATTTCACTTACCCAAGATGCTGGTCTTTCCAAACTCACCAAGTTGTATACATTACATACACACAGCTTTATGTATGTAATAATACATCAATAAAGTGATTAAAAAATGCTAGTCTTATGATTTTATATTGGATTCCAGTGGTATTTGGAAAGTCCAAATAAAAGAGAACAAAAACAAATCATATATTTTTTATATATTTGATAAAATTGTTTATATTTAATATAACTTATATAGTATACATTTATATAATTTATAATATAATTACAGCATAAAATACATGTTATATATAATGCATGCATATGTATACCATGTGTCTATTCATATGAAATTGAGGTATAAAAAATGTTCTTGTACTATAAAAACACTCTAATCTTCTCTTGGGGTATAAGGTATTCCAAAGTGGCCTATTCCACTGCTCAACTCCCCTTTTACCGCTCTTCCTCCTAACCTCTAACTCTGTGTTCTCTAGAAGCATAGATAAATGCATCCAATTACTCAAAAGAGCCTCTGGCTTGTTAGTGCATCTTGAAAAAATAAAGTAGAAGCAGGCCCAGGTGGAGACACACTCACTCACCTCCAAGTTGACTAATAATAGCACATCCCTGATACAATAGTGATTTGATACCTCTTCAAACTGCTATTCTTTAAATATTTAAAATTTTCACACTTACTTAAATTTATATGAAATCCCTAAATATATAAACGTAATTTTGACTTTTTTCTTTTTGGAAGTGTTAGGCATGGTAAGAAAAGGACACAATCAGGGCAGCCCTATCTTCACTCCTATGTATTGGAGAGCTACACTTTAATTGACTAAAACAGAAGCCCTGAAGGTAATCTAATCCACTCTCCCTAGAAGGCAGTTGGGGAAATAAGAAAGCTAATATTTGAGGTTGCTCCTTGGGAGTCTTGGTCCTTTCCTAAATAGAGTAGGCATATTTTTATTCCTATCACTGTCCTACTCTCCTGAGAAGTCCCGGTAAATTAAATTCTCACCTTCTCATTACATTTCCAGTGATATCTTGGTTCCCTTTAAGGAAATATAGAAAATGGTCTATGTGCACAGAAAGACAACTATTGCATGTTCTCACTCATATGTGGGAGCTAAAAAATCATTAATTCCATGGAGGTGGACAGTAGAATGATAGTTACCAGAGGCTGTGAAGGGTGTGTGGGTGGGTGGGGTGTTGAAATAAAGGCAGATTGGTTAATGGGTACAAACATACAGTTAGACAGAAGGAATAAGTTCTCTTGTTGGAAAGCAGAGGAGGATGACTATTGTTAGTTACAATGTATTGTGTATTTCAAAATAGCTAGAAGAGAGGATTGAAATGTTTCTGACACATAGAAATGATATCTACTCAATGTGATAGATACCCTAAGTAGCCTGATTAATCATTCACATTCTATGCATGTAATAAGATATCACATATACCTCATAAAATGGGCAGAAATTGTATATCAATTTTTTCTCAAGAAAAAGAACATGACCCATATGGTGTGCCCTTCAATGAGACTTTGAGAACTCGTAAGGATTGCTGTTGTGGTGGTTAGGGGAGAAGTTGATCCTTAAGAAGAGAGTAGGCTGGCTGCAGTGGCTCATGCCTGTAATCCCAGCACTTTGGGAAGCCAAGGCGGGTGGATCACGAGGTCAGGAGATTGAGACCATCCTGGCCAACATGGTGAAACCCCGTCTCTACTAAAAATACAAAAATTAGCCAGGCGTGGTGGTGGGTGCCTGTAATCCCAGCTACCCTGGAGGCTGAGGCAGGAGAATCACTGGAACCCGGGAGGCAGAGGCTGCAGTGAGCTGAGATTGCGCCATTGCACTCCAGCCTGGGCGACAGAGTGAGACTCCATATCAAAAAAAAAAAAAAAAGTAGATAGTAGACACCCACTCCTCTGCCAGCCCAGCATTCCACTGCTCCTCCTTCAGGTAAAAAGCTTGCTGATATTCCCTTGGAGAAATGCTCCCCATCCAGGTCAGTTCCTGTGGCTCCAATGAGGCAGGTGTTCCGGAGCTGGCACTGTAAATGGTTCAGAGAAGGACCTGTGACCCCGGCCAGGCAAGGAGAGTCAGAATGTTTGCAGGAACCCTAGGGAAAAAGAACTCTCTTTCTGTAGGATTTGCTGGTAGAAGGAGAACCTATAGCTCTATTTGGCCATTTTTGCCATAATATGGAAAGAGAATGGAACCACAGGAAAGGAAGCAGAGCTAAGAAAAAAAGAAAAACATTCTTAAGAATATGACTTCACAGCTAGTCCAGCCATGTCTAAAGCCAGATAGATCACTGGATTTTAGTTATGTGAACAAATACTCCCCTCTTTGCTTAAGCCTGTCTGAGTTGGATTTTCTGTCTCTTGCAAATGAAAAAGTCCTGATTAATACAACCAAACTTTATGATCAGCCTTCCCCTCAACCAAAAAAAGAAAAAGCTTTCACTCTCAGATTAGAAAATGGGGTCTTTCTCTGAGTATAAGTTATAATCCAACTCTGGACCTGCAGGACTCTAACTGGGGAAAAAAAGTTAAGACTGAGAATCAGGCCCCACTTGAACTAGATTTATTTAACAGAAAAAGCATTCAATCCTTCAACAAGTGTTTATTGAACAACAAATACATGCTGGACAAATGAATGTGCCAGGCACTAGGACACAGCCATTAATAAGAGCCAGTGTCTGCCTTCTGGTGCATGCATTTCAGTGAGGAAAACTAAAAAAAAAAACAAGTATATGCTATGCTTTGTGATAACAAGTGTTTTGGAGAAAAATAAAAAGGATAAAGGGAATAGAGAGAAAGGATGGTGTATTAATCCATTCTCATGTTGTGAATAAAGACAAAACCGAGACTAGGTAATTTATAAAGGAAAGAGGTTTAACTGACTCATAGTTCAGCTTAGCTGGGGAGGCCTCAGGATACTTAACAATCACGGCAGAAAAGCAAGTAAATATGTCCTTCTTCACATGGCTGCAGGAAGGAGAAGAATGAGAGCCCAGTGAAGGGGGAAGCCCCTTATAAAACCATCAGATCTCATGAGAACTCACTCACTATCACAAGAACAGGATGGGGGAAACCGCCCTTATGATTTAATTATCTCTACCTGGTCCTTCCCACAACATGTGGGGATTATGGGAACTACAATTCAAGATGAGATTTGGATGGGACACAGCCAAACCATATCAGATGGGTTGACAGGGGAGACCTCTCTGAAAAGGCAGCATTTGAGCAGGAACTGGAAGAAACTGCAAGATGGATGCAACTCTCTAAGGGAACCGTCTTCCTGGAAGACGGGAAGAGCTAATGCAAAAGCTCCAGGGTACAAGTGTGCAGGGCAGGGCCTAGGAACACCAAGACTAATGTGACTGGGGCCCCATGGGGAAGGAGTATGGGAGACAAAGTCAGATGCTTCAGGGCCTTGTAGACATCATAAGAACGTTGGCTTTTACTCTGAGTAAAGTGGCACCACTGGAGGCTTTTGAACAGAGAAAATATATGATCTGACTTTTTAAAAGAGCACTATAGCTGTTGCACAGAAAACAGTTCACTGGGTATTGTCTGGGGGCAAGAACCAAAGCTGAGAGATGTTGCCCTCAGACAATTCTATACAAGATAAATAGTATAAAACCCCTAAATCCAAATTGGCAATTAGAAGTCTGCCATATGAATTAAAATGAACAACAGAATTCCCAAATATACCTATAGAGGAGTTCAAGACGATAGCACACAAATAATTATTAGTTTAGTCCCTCATAGTGGTTCTCAATTCTCAGAGACCATTTTGCCCCCTACCCTTACCCTGAGATAATTGGCAATGTCAAGGGAACTTTGTGGTTGTCATGACTGGTATGGGGTGGGAAGTGGGGAGAGTAACACTGGCATCTAATGGGTGGAGGCCAGGGACACTGCTAAACATCCTGTAATGTACAAGACACCCCACACAACAAAGAATTATCCAGCTCCAACTATCAATAGTGTTGAGGTTGAAAACCCCTATATTAATGTAAATATTCATTGTTCTCAGATTTCATTATTCTTAAACTTGCAATAAATATAAAATCAGAGAAGCACAAACTGAGTTGAATTGTCTTCCTTTTTGGCTAATCATTTAAAAGGCAAAAAATATTGTTGCTGTTTTACATTTAAGAACAACTTCTTGAGGTAAAAAAATGCATAGTGACCTGTGCTCTTAAATCAAAGCAGGAGATCCTTAGGGAAAAAGTGACATAAGAATGTTTCTGAGTTTGCAACAGGAAGACTTCAAAATTGTTTTAATATGAAAATGTCATTTCAGGAAAACAAAAGCACCTGGCACAGATTTGCTTTGGGGAGGAAAATTCCTTTGAAAACCCAACTAGTTGTATAATTAAGTGATAATGAATGCAGAGCTGTACTTTGTATTCCATTCCAGCACATTGGAGTTGAATCTAGGCTTGAAAAGCTAAATCCCTCAGTGCTCTGGCCTCTCATCAGTGAAGTGCAAATCAAGGCCTTTAACTGCTATAGAAGGGGTGGTTCCAAAAAAATGAACTACAAATATTATGTTTTCAAACTGTCTACTTTCAAATGTATGCTGAGTTGTATGTGCAAGACTGCATTAAATAAAAAGAAATGTTTCACTGGAACAAGAAAGCAAGCTATCATATGTAATATTTTACATGATGGTTTATACATAATAGAATAATCTATTTTTTAAAAGAAAGAAGGGCTATTAATGTCCATTTTATAAGGCAAATAGGATTCTTAATCACTGGTGATTTCACTTAGAGAAAGACTAAATAATATATTTGTACTCTAGCTAATGTCATGTGTAAGAAAGATGAATGAGAGTAGATGCACGTGCTGGATTGAGTTTTTTGCTTGGTTATAGAGATATGATGCAGTATAGATAGTACTTGGAAGTTTGGTTTAACAAAAATTGGATATACTTCTTTAAAATTACTGCAACAAAATCATGATGGGGATCTGTAAACATGAGAAGTTAATAACTTGATGTGCCATTTAATATTTACCATCATAACTAAAGGACATAATATAATCAGCCTGTGGCTAGCCAATCATTCAAAGAAGCCACTATCACTTGTAGTTTTTATCTTAATTTAAAATGAACAAACAGAAAGAGACAATTTTCATTTTGTTTCTATAAAAATTAGTATTTTCCCAAAAGGAGATTAAAACAAAGATTCCATATACAAATAACTTAGGAGTAAACCTGATGGAAAGCAACATAGACCATATGATACATATTCAAGTTCAAATAGCATTTTATAAACATTATATTAGTCTGTTCTCACACTGCTATAAAGAAATGCCCAAGACCTGGTAATTTATAAAGAAAAGAGGTTTAATTGACTCACAGTTCCACATGGCTGGAGAGGCCTCTGGAAACTTACAATCATGGTTGAAGGGGAAGCAGGCATGTCTTACATGGTGGCAGAAGAGAGAAGAGCAGGGGAAACTACCACTTATAAAACCATCAGATTTCATGAGAGCTCACTCACTATCATGAGAACAGCACAGAGGAAACAGCCCCAATGACCCAGTCACTTTCTACCAGGTCCCTCCCTTAACACATGTGGATTACAATTTGAGATGAGATTTGGGTGGGGACACAGAGCCAAACCATATCAAACATGCTTAAATGTCTGAAGAAAAACAGGACTTTATAATAGGAAGGTAAACAAATGACAAAAGCAATAAGAAAACATAGTTATTGGTATCACACAAATAGTCTTCTACCTGATATAATAGAGAGCACGGGTTCTTGCATAGTTTTGAACATAGGAACAGACCATAGAGCAACAAAATCCTGGAAAGAAACCACCTGCCTGAGAGCTATTAAAGGGACTACCAAGAAAGACCAGGACATGAATCAAACAAGGCTGCTTAAACTAGGCTGTGCATTAAAACTATTCTCTGCACTGTGGTAACATGTCAACATAAGGAAGAACTTTGGCAAAAAATCAGGTTGGTGACATAATAAGACCAATGGGATGGAGCAGCTGGATAGGATAAAACACAGGGAAAGAGGTGTTTTTTGTGTATTGGTTTTTGGTTTTTGGTTTTTTTGTAAACACATATACATCCAAGCCTGTATACTTGAGAACTTACTGGGTAAGGCAGACAAGTTGCTTTTTCTACTGACGCTAGTCAAACGAGTTTAGGAATTAATCAGAATTACATATCCACATTGTCCCTTCCATCTGTGAGTCAACATCCCTGCAGAAACCGCACCATGAATTGAGAAGCATACAGTCTGCAGCCTGGATGACTTACCCATGAGATTTGGGTAGAATAAATAGTAAAGGCCTTTGAAATGCCTTTGCTGATGCCAAACATGAAATGTTGTCAGTCCACCTGAAGTTCAAAGAGTGGCAGGAGCCACCTGATGGATTACACAAATTACATTAGACCTTTTTAGGTAAGTGGTTGGAGAGTTAGATGAACCAACACTTCTTTTCTGATTTTTTTTTATTAAAAGACACCACAGTGGTACAAGAGAGGATGGCCTTTGGGAAGTGTATTGCCTTGAGCTATGCTTTGAATTATTTTTTTTCAATGAGAATGTCTTTTTTCTCAAACTGGATTGTATGTTGCTTATGTTTCTCTGTTATCAACCTCCCATCTCCAGCATTTAGCTTTCCTTGATGGCTTTTAGCAAGGCGCTGCTCAGAGAAAAGAATAAAACTATAAAGAGTCACAGAGGACATTTTTAAGATTTGAAAGAAAACCCACAGAAAATAAAAAATTTTAATTTTTTTATTTTCTTTTTTCTAAAGGAGTGTGTAAATTGCTGGCATGTTTATGGATTATAACTCCATTTTTGTGGTTGTTTTTAACATCATGAATCAGAAAGTGAAAAAATATGAGCAATATTCAAAAAGCAGTAGGAATATCTTAATGCCACTGAAGGCCCAGCAGAAATTAAAACTCGTTTATCAGAATATAAGAGTTACAGAAATTGTAAATCATGAGAAGATACACAGATGTTACTTTGAACTTCAAGCCATCAATTGGCTCACAGGCCTGCCACAGTCTACTGATGTATGGTCAGAGTTCTTGGTTGCAAATAACAGAATATATTTTGGCTAGTTTAAGCAGAATAGGAATGTATTAAAAGAAGCCAGGTAGCTCATGGAATCTGAGGGCCAAGGAGCCAGAAACTGAAGCCATTTAGCCAGGAAACCAAGCCATCCCATTGGATTCTCTAGTGAAATGTCACTACCACCACCATTCAGCATCAATCCTCCTTGGGACTAGACGCCAGAAACTCTTCTGCCAATGCCCCAGATGAAGTGGACACCATTGCCCCCGCCATGCCCAGAAGACTGACTCTCCCTTAAGTAGGGCAAACTCCCACATGTGACGACATTTTTATCCTCTGAATCAAGTCTTATATGGGTGGTCCCAACTGGCAGAACCTAAGCCACACACCTGCATCCCAGGTACAAGGGAGTCCAGAGATGTGTTTTTGCCCTGAATATGTCCTTGAAAAGGACATATAAAGTTAGAAACTTTCACACTGTATAGAGAAATGTTCAAACATAGCAGGCAGCCACAAATGACAAAAACCCTCTATGAATTCCAATCTATCTTTTTTAATCCGTATTTCTTCTGTCCAAACCTTCCCTTCCAGGCATCCTGATCTCTTTATTATTTCTTTTACATCCTACTTCCCATCTTTACAATATGAGGTTTATTTAAATAACGTACTCAAGATCACACAACTACTAAGAAATAAAAATCTGGATCTGAACCTAAATCCCTTCTGAAATCCAGATTCTGCATTTAGTTGATATGGTGAGGCTTTGTGTCCCAGCCAAATCTCACCTTGAATTGTAATCCCCGTAACCCCCCATGTCAAGGGAGAGACCAGGTGGAGGTGATTGAATCATGGGGGTGTTTTCCCTCATGCTGTTCTCATGATAGTGAGTGAGTTCTTATGAGATCTGATGGTTTCATAAGGAGTTCTTCCCCTTTTGCTTGGCACTTCTCCTTTCTGCCACCTTGTAAAGAAGGTGCCTTGCTTTCTCTTCATCTTCTGCCATGATTGCAAGTTTCCTGAGGTCTTGCCAGCCATGCAGAACTGTGAATCAATTAAACCATTTACCTTTATAAATCACCCAATCTCGAGCAGTTCTTTATAGCAGTATGAAAATGGAAGAATATATTAGTCATGTGTTGAGAGTTGATTTAAAGTCTACACTTCATACTATGTCCCAAAGCACCAAGTTCACCTTACTAGATACTTAGTACCATGTACTAAGCAGACAGTAATTTAATTCATCTCAATAGATATGTTTTTACTGCCTGGAATGGAATCTTGGTTCAGCACCTAGAAATTATATAATATTGGACAAATTACTTAACCCTCTAGGTCTATTTCCTCATCCACAGAATAGAATGGTGTACTTCTCATCTAGTTAATGTGATGACATTTTTGGAAAGGGGGCACAAACCTGGACTACAATAAGCAAACAATAAATATCAGGCCCATACAGAAAAAAACATAAGAACATGGCCTTGTGCTTTAATGGAGAAAGAGGCTGCCTATCCATGTCATTTTCATGGTCCTAGGAAGCCCCTCACCCCTCCATCTACCCCTCCAACCCATTTCCAGACACAAATTCCTCCCAGCCACCCACATACATCTCCCCACAGATGACTGGAGTCAGGAAATTCCAGAAACCAGCCATGAGGAATGAGGCTGAAAAGGTCATGGATCTGAATAACCCATGTTGAGATGGAAGTGGTGGTTGTGAGGGCTCATCCTGAGAGCAAGTTTACAGAAAGAGGAGGGAAGAAGACAAAGGACATTGGACTCTGATGATGGAACGAGATGGGCACCACAGGGAGATGTCTGGATGCAAACAGGGATGAGGCAAATGCTGGAGCGGCCACAGGCATTCCTCAAAGTGACAAAGAAGTCCCACTTGACTAACGTGGAGGGTGAGCAGTGAATATGAATGATCCACAAGACTCAGAATAGGTGGTCATAGAAGAGGGAAAGCCATGATGTATGGTGTGCCTGTACCCCTTATAAGGGAACAAACTACCCACAACTCCTGGGCACATGTAGTCCCAGGCGAGGACATTAGGAGAGAGTGGTGATGGGGCAATTTCATTCTATTGGGACCCCAGGGGCAGAGTGTTGAGATCATCAGCCTGGCCTGTGAAATACCTCCTGTGTGTTCCCTCTGTTTACCTAAATGTAACCTTATAATATACACTCCTCCCAGAATATCTATTTTTTATTATTTTAAAAAATAAAAGTCAAGTGCAGTGGCTCATGCCTGTAATCCCAGAACTTTGAGAGTCCCAAGTCAGAGGATGGCTTGAGGCCAGAAGTTTGAGACCAGCCTGGGCAACATAATAAGACCTCTGCCCCTAACAACAACAACAACAACAACAACAACAACAAATCTTTTTAAAATTAGTTGTTGGGGATTGAGGAAGGAGTATAACCGAAGCCCAGGAACTCACAACTGCAGTGAGCTATGATCACATCACTGCACTCCAGCCCAGTTGACAGTCAGACTCTGTCTCAAAAACATAATGAAAAAAAAAATAAAACTAACAAAAACTTAACTGAAATAATG